>NT_113793.3:0-209709 GCF_000001405.40 Homo sapiens | reverse complement strand
GGGGTGTACACCCCCTGCGATATTGACAGTAATATCATCCTCTCCCCCCCAGATATTAGTAAAAATATCACTGAAGGGGTCTACACCCCCTGTGATAGTGACAGTAATATCCTCTCCCCCCCCAGATATTAGGAACAATACCACGGGAGGATGTACACCCCCTGTGACATTGACAGTAATATAAACCTCTCCCCCCACCCTGGATATTAGGAAGAATACCACGGGGGGTGCACACCCCCTGTGATATTGGGAGTAATATCACCCACTATCCCCTAAATGTTAGGAACAATATCACAAGGCGGGGAGTACACCCTCTGCGATATTGGGAGTAATGTCATCCTTTCCCTGCCCCTGCATACTAGGAATAATATCACAAGGGATGTACACCCCCATACGCTATTGGGAGTAACATCACTCTTTCTTCCCATGGATATTAGGAACAATATCACAGAAGTGGTGTACATACGCTGCACTGTATAGAATAAAGCAGGCGGAGGAAGGTGGGATAACCTTGCTAGCTGAAGCTTCTGGCTCTCTTTTTTTCTTCTTCCCGTGCAGGACACTTGCTTCCCTTCTTCCTGCCCTTGGACATGAGACTCCAGGTTCTTATGCCTTTGGACTCTGGGACTTGCACCAGCGGCTTCCCCGAGGCTCTCAGGCCCTCGGCCTCATACTGAAGACTGCACTGCGGGCTTTCCTGGTTTTGAGGCTTTTGGACTTGGACTGAGCCACTACTAGCTTCTCTCTTTCCCTACCTGGCAGACAGCCTATTGTGGGACTGCCTTCTAACCGTGTGAACCAATTCTCTCTCGTAAACTCCCTTATACATATACCTGTATCTTGTTGGTTCTGTCCCTCTGGAGAACCCTGACTCATACGTTTTGTTTATTTTTTCTCCATTGCCCTTTCCTCTGCTTCTAGGCTTACCTAGACCACCACCATTCTTTCCCCCTTTCTAAAGTAAAAGTTGTTTTTTTCTCACTAAATGCATGGCATTCTGCCCGTTTTCCATGGCTTTCCTCAGCCCTGCTCTGTTTATTCTTGCTATCTTAAGAGGAAATCCCTGCCTCTTCCGTGGCTTTTCCCACTTGGTCTACATACTGGTTTCTGTTGTTCTCAGAGACACACTGAGACCTTTCACATCTCACTGTCACTTCTTGGAAGGGCTCTCTACCTCGTCTGCCTGCTGAGCAACCTCTTGGGGAGACGCGGGCCCTCTTGAGTCACTGAACTTGAGCTATTTGGTGTTGGTATGTTAATTTATCTTCTTAGACCACTTACCACTTCTTTAACTTCAAAAGAGAAGAATAAGTATTATTTTCCATGGTTGATATGAAGAGTAGAAATAACTTATACAAAATGCATTGCAGTTAAGTGATAATAAATGGCCGTGAATGCCCTTATTAATGTTATTCTATCAGTCTCGGCTCAGATACCATCTGCTCTGTAAGCTCTGCTCTGAATCATATCTGCTTCTTCTCTGGGTTCCTTGTGCTCTGTTCTTAACTACTTTAAAGCAGTAATTGTTCTGATTCTAAATAGTGATCCTTCCGAATAAAATTTTAAATTTGTAGATCTCTTCCCCCCACCCATGCCCCAGCCTAACCAGTGTTTTCTTACTTTTTTGTGTACAGGCTACATCACTGGTCTTTCATTTGTGGCTAAATAAATGTTGTGTTAGAAGAGTAAAGAGTTCCCAGTTACATGGGATCTATAGTTCTACAAAATGAATGTATACATAATCCATGTAAATATTCCACTTATTTTAAAACAATTTTTTAATTTTTAAATTAAATTTAATTTGTGCATGTGTGTGAGACCAGAGTGAGACCAGAGATGGCGGCGGTGAGGGACGGTGGTCTCACCATGTTGCCCAGGCTGGTCTTTAACTCCCCTTGAAGTGCCCCCCTCCTCACCTGGCCCCCCTCACCTTGCCTTCTCCCCCTCACTTTGCCTCCTCCCCCTCACTCCTATGCCAGTCCCTGCCATTCCCTACCCCCTCTGTTGACTGCAAGACTCAACAAGTGACTTGCTGAGCAAACCCTGCTGAGAAGAGGTCTGTTTAGGGACACAGGAGGCCAAGTACACAAAAAAGCAAAAGAACTAGCATGCCTTTTTCAATGGATGTCTATTTTACAGGGCTGGCTTCAGATTATTATTATAGCTTTAAATAAAAGGACCGTTTTGTCATCTCGGCCCATGGCCTACATTATTTCTTTACTGTCCATTGCCCTGGGCGCTTGACTAATAATTTAACAGCAATTTTTTTTTTAATTTTAAATCATGATTCATCGCATTGCTGTAAGAGTAATTAGAGGTAAATTAGGGCTTGAAACTGCCTGTAGTGGGTTACTTTCTGAGATCTTAGCATAATTATCAGGTGAGAGGGTGAAGTTTTAATTAGCGCTAAGTGGGATAGAAATTCAATGCACTGAAACTGCAGTGTCCAATTCAGTAGGCGCTAGCCACCTGTAACTATTGAGCACTTGAAATCCTGGCTAGTCCTAATTGAGATGTGTTGTGTTAAATATACTGGATTTTGTCATTGGAGTGGGAAGAACAGCGTAGAATATCTGCTTGATAATTTTTTATATTGATTACATGTTAAAATTATTACTATGATTACTATTTGGGACATACTGAGTTAAGTATATTTAAAATTAATTTCACCTTTTAATGGGGCTTACTAGTACATTTAAAATTACATATGTGGCTCACATATTTATTGGACAGCACGGCTCTAGAAGTTTAGGAAGAAATAAGAAAAATATTGAGAATAGGTAGCGACAGTAGGAAGTTTGACCTCCTGTAAGACTGATTCCAATAAAACTAATAGGTGATAGTTTTAATTGGCTTTTTCCTACTAGAAAAAGTAAGTGTACTTTACATGTCTCTTTGTTCTCCCTCTTTCCCCTTCAATTTAGTGGTTAGCGTGTATTTACTATATCAGGCTTAATATTCACTAAGCAGTGTTAAGAAGACTTAGGTAAATGATTCCCTGATGAACACACTTGATTTTCAAAGCACTTTCCTAACCCATTTTTAATTGGAATAGAGTCAAAGGTAGATGGCTTATTATTAGTCATCTCATTTAAACCTCATGGAATTTTCCTGCTAAATCTCAAAGTAAACAATTTGTTATAGGCTGTTTTGTCAAGTGCATGGAAGGGACAGCATAAGACATGTGGTACTTCATTTCAACATTGCTTGAGATGGTTTTCATTATAATCATACATTATTTGCTTCTGGTTTTCCAGAAAAGCCAGCTAAACCTGTGGTTCATTTAGATATAAATGAAATATCCTCAAAGGATTGCTCAAAGTGACTTATGCAACTTGAATATATATTTTTTTCTGTAGGGTGTTTATTCCAAATTATCTGGCCATTTGTGGCAATTTGCAGTATTTTAGAAAACACCAAATATTTTTCAAGTTAGAGATGTTTTAATAAAAACAGTCATATTGAACTGGAAGCAGCCAAATAAAATGGTCCTTTATTTCACAGTTGAGAATTTGAAATTGGAAGGTAATTAACATATGTAAGGATGATGTATTTGCTGCCTGGCTTATAGGAATGAGCCAAGGTGTTTTTTGAGGGATGTTGTTGCTGTGTATGTCCCACCTATTTTGCTTCCTTAATGAACAATGCAAGTTTGAGACAGAAATATTTGAGAACATTTTTATCAGTTGCGACATTTTGATAGTGAACATTTTATATCTTCTGTCAACTTAAAATGTTTGCATCTTCTGTCTGCTTAAAATGTTTAATTTGTTATAGCCAAATAATTTGGCTATAATTGATAATTTAATTTATCAAATTAAATTGCTTTTTTTCCCTTTAGACTTTCTTCAGTCACAACTGAATAAATCACTTAGAAGTAAGCTAGATGTAATATAATGAAATGCTTAAAAGGGCTGTGTATCTTCATATTACACTTACAGTGACTTTCTGCTGTACCCATTATATTCTACCTGCAGCTAGTTGAGGTAAAGAGAGGGCATTTAACTGTCAAGGGAACCTCTGAGGAGACTGTAGAAATCTGGAAAGTCTCTTGGGTCTTTGAGGGATTTTGGGATGCAGAGAGTGGGGCTGGGATCTCTGGCTAGGTTGGAGCCAGCCTGCATTTGTATCTTTATCTTGGAAGCAAACTTAGAATGCAGAGATAGATGTGGCCTGGATGCTGCTAACTCTAGCCAACCACTAAATCTTAAGGTGGGAGAGATGCAGGCTTTGGCTGGGTGCTAAGCTGCTGTAGCTGGTTGAATGTAGAGGTCACTATCTTTTCTGAATACTTGTAAGTAAATTAAATCATTCTCTACTCCTGTATGCCTGCCAACCAAATGGGAAATCGCTATAGAAAAGATGGTTTAAATTTTAGTCTTTGAAGTGGTTAATGCACGTTTCTGGAATCAAGATTTAATGTGGACTTGGATTGGATATTGAATATTTTTTATTTGTCTACTTTTCTCTCCTTAGGGAGCTTATAGCTTCATTGCACTGTGTGTGGCATTTGGGTCCTGTTTGGCAGCAATGACTGCCTTTCTGTTTAGTGTCTGTGTGCTATGAAGATTGCACACAGGGGTCCAGATGCATCCTGTTTTGAGAATGTTAATGGATACACCAGCTGCTGCTTTGGATTTCACCCATTGGCGGTTTCTATAAAAACTTTAGACACAGTGAGCCACTCTTCTCACGGAATGGTGGAAACCCTCCCAATTCCAATTTCCTAAACACCAGCCAAGGGCCAGCCTTGCATGCAGGCCTTTCTAAGGATGGCAGTCTCTTGCCTGTTATATGAAATCTTTTCTGCACACTTTGTATAGCCCCAACTTAATTTTTGGTGTTGTTTTAAAATTTCATTTTAATAACATAATATTATAAGATAAGGTAACTTGGTACTAATTTCTGTTGTATGATCCATTTTAAGTTGCAGCGCTGGTTACTTTTTTGACTTTCAGTGACGAACAGCTATTTGTACATAAGTTACCATAGCAATGTTAGGTAATTATAATCTGTCCTATTTATCTCATTTACCTTTCAGTAAAATTGTTAAATAAGCAAAATAAATTCTGAGTTAAAATTAGAATAAAAATTGTCTTTTATTTGGATTACATGAATAATCTAGTTTTCATATTGTGCTAAAGCCCTGCTTAGAATTATGAAATAAGATAAAATATTCAATCATTTTTATCAATATTTTCTTACCTAAGCATGCAATTAAATTTATTTATTTTATATATTTTATATACTTCAATTTGAGAAATAATGACCACGTGTTGTTACTTTGGTCTTCAATGATCTCTAATTTTTAGGGTCACCGTGTCTTGCTTAAATATATCATAGTAACAGGTTCAGTGAATATCTTTATTTTTAATTTTATTTACTTATTTTTTTTTTGAGACAGAGTTTTGCTCTTGTTGACCAGGCTGCAGTGCAATGACACAATCTTGGATCATTGCAACCTCCACCTCCCAGGTTCAAATGATTCTCCTGCCTCAGCCTCCCAGGTACCTGGAACTACAGGCATGCACCATCATGCCCGGCTAATTTTTTATATTCAGTAGAGATGAGGTTTTACCATGTTAGTCAGGCTGCTCTCGAACTCCTGACCTCAGGTGATCCACCCACCTCAGCCTCTCAAAGTGCTGGGATTACAGACATGAGCCACTGCCCCCAGCCATCTTTTTTATTTATTTATTTTAATTGTTGTTCTGGAGATCCTGGGATGCATAGACAGTGAATATCTTTTCTGTTTTTTGAGACAGAATCTCACTCTGTCTCCCAGGCTGCAGTGCAGTGGTGCCATCTTGGTTAACTGCAACCTCTGCTTTCTAGGCTCAAGCGATTCTCCTGCCTCAGCCTCCCGGGTAGCTGAAATTACAGATGCCAGCTACCATGCCCAGCTAATTTTTGTATTTTTATTAGAGATGAGGTTTTGCCATGTTGGCCAGGCTGGTCTTGAACTCCTGACCTCAGGTGATCCACCCACTTTTGCCTCCCAAAGTGCTGAGATTACAGGCATGAGCCACTGAGCCCAGCTGAATATTTTTTTTAAATCAATAACCTTATTTCTTAGAGTAGTTTTAGGTTCACAGCAAAATTGAGAGGAAGGTACAGAGATTTCTCATATATCCCATGCCTCCCACACACGCATAGCCTCCCCCATTATTAATATTTTCCACCAGAGAGTGGTCCATTTGTTACAACTGATGAACTTACATTGACACATTATAATCACTTGAAGTTCATAGTTTACATCAGGCCTCACTCTTGATGCTGTACATTCTGTGAATTTGGACAAATGTATAATGACATGACATGTATCTATTACTGTAATATTATCGACAGAACAGTTTCACCGCCCTAAAAATTCTCTGTGCTATGTCTGTTCATCTCTCCCTTTCTCCCTAGCAACTCGTGACAACCATTGATGTTTACTTGTCTTCATAGTTTTACTTTTTTCAGAAGAGTCATATAGTTGGAATAAGAAGAGTGGATATCTTTTTGAGTAGTTAAAAAATTAAAGCTCCATGGCAGTTGAATGTAGTCATTTAAGATGTTCTTTGTCCTTTTGTTTTTCTTTTGCTTCTTTATCATTGTAAAGAATGATGTATTCTGATGAGATATGATTTTACATACTTAGAAAACATGATTTTTATAGATATGTGGCACATAATAGAAAGGGTTGAGGAAAAGGACATCACGCCGTACTACACAGCACAACCTGGAGCATCTTGCTCTGTGAGGTGGGTCCAGATAGACTCTTTAGCAATGGAAGGGGACAAGTGTAAAGGGTTGTGCTTTATAAAACTGGAATCACAAAGTCTTTCATACTTACCTTCGGTTGGAAATAAGACCAGGCAGTGAATGCTATTAGGTAAATACATAAGTTCCTCACTGATCCTCTTCCTTTGAGGGATGAGGTTGACAACAGCCTGTATTATGATGACATGACTCACCTAAAAATAGATTCTGTCATGAGAGATGACAAGGGAGTTTTGCTTTATGCGAGGTGAAAAAAATTTTTTCTCCTACTAGGGAGATGGGCAAGCATTAGAACATTCTGGTAGTAAAAGGGCATTGATAATTTTCTTTCTATATATTTTTTCACATCAGATAATATTGCCCAGCAGCCTGCCATACCTCCCCAGTGTTTATTCAGCTTCTCTCTGAATGTGGATAAGCTCTTAAAGGAGTGATCTTTCCAGTGGTTCTTTCTGTGGGAGGTAAAATGGCAGGTGAATTTGGGCCTTGTTATACGTAGGCCAGAGCAAATAGCTACAACTAAGGAAACCACCCAGCACCTTACCCAGAAGAGTATTAGCCAGAGTAACACACTGATCTCTCTTGAGATCTTCTCCACTGGTGGCTGGAAAGTCTTTGCAAGGATTCCTGTTTCTGGTCTGATTCCTATGTTTTGTTAGTTTCTGGTGATAGCATGTTTTATTCTAAACTAAACAGTTTGAACTGAAGAGCTAGAGAGACTGTGTTGCGTTATAACAAAATAAGTGCAGTAACTACACCTTAACTGTGGGAGATACATTCCAAGACCCCCAGTGCATGCATGAAACCATGGATAGTACTGAATCACAAGCTGTTTTTCCCTATACATACATATCTATGACAAAGTTTAATTTATAAATTAAATTAAATCCGATGTTATCTGTAGATAAGGTGTGAGAATTGAATTGTGTCATCAGCAGGAATGATTGCTTGTTTGTTGGTGGGGAAAAACTCTCCACACATTTGGTCACAGAAGCCTTCTTTGTTGATGATTGTTGCTGTGGTGTGACAGCAGAGAAAAACGTGTCAAGTATGTCTTTCTGCACATATAGTGGATAAGGGGTACTAGTGTATACTCTGTTGTAATGGCCCCTCATATTTTGGTCCAGAAATCATGCTCTTTGACACTGTTGACTCATCACACCTGTTCTGCTAACAATACCATTTTTACTCAATCTCATAGGGTTTGGCTAGGATGACTTGTATACTGCAGTTCACTTGTAGATACCAAATTTTAATAAATGTATTCTTCTTTGCATCTAATAAATACAGAGGGAAGAGTTCTTACTGCATTAATTACCTACCAATACATATAATGAATGTTAATTCTAATAACGTCCCAGGCATGCTCCCAAAGGAATGCTTTGTAACAAAGCGTCAGTCTTATGCTTTAAAAAACCAAACCAAACCAAAACAACAACAACAACAACAACAACAAAAAACAGGATCTAAAGCATACACACAAGTGTGCACAATTTTTTTATGAAGGTAGAGTCTTACTATGTTTCCCAAGCTGGTCTCAAACTTCTGGGCTCCTCAAGTGATCCTCTTGCCTCATCCTCCCAAGTAGTTTGGATTAGAGGCATGCATCACTGTGCATTCTTATGATTTTAATATTCTGTACATTTATTATTGATTTAAAATGCATTTTACCTTTTTCTTTAATAGATGTTGGAATTTCTGATGAATCTGCAGTCAGGTAAGATTTCATAGATTTAAAAAATTATGTTAACTAAGAAAATATAGATGGAAGAAACTAATATCTGTTGAGTGTTGTATTCTGGGCTAGACATCCTAATATGTTCTATGCATTTATCATCTCATAAAGCCATCATAACATCTGTGTTCCTATAACCTACTGTTAAATAAACAACTATGGATTAGAGCTGATTAATTGCCTCATGATCCCATAGTTAACAAAGTAGCTGGCCTACAGTTTGACCATCAGCCTGCCTGCCTTCCAAATCCTTTCTCTTGCTCCTCAGCATAGATTGATAGATATCTGTGCAGCCCTTGGATCAAAGTATAGGTCTGAATCAGATCAATCGGATTCATTAATTTGATTAACTTCTAAATTAATGAGAGTTTAAATACCTTGAACTCTCATTTAAGTTTATTGTTAGAATGTGGTTAGTCCTAATAAATTTGACGATTTCAGTGGTAACTAGTATCTTATTTTTACCTTCAAAGGCTCTAGGGCAGATCTGACTTAGCTTTGGCCATAGGACTGTAAGTTTTACCAAAGCAAGTTTAGGCAAGTCTTAGAGACAAATTATTTGACTTCCCAGTTTGGTTTTCCATTTAGGCAAGTATTTCTGCTTACTTCCATAATACATTTTTTAGTCTTGTTGCTTTTTCCATGACTTTTATATAATCTTGTCTTCATTTTTTAAAACTTTCTTCTCTGTTATTCTTGGTGTTTCTTTTGTTCTATTATTTTTTCAAACTCTGCTGCCTATGTATTCCAAGTTTTCCTATAGACAGAATCAAGAGGACATAGAATTACAGAATTTTAAGGAATCTTGGAATGAATTAAAATACCTTCTAGTATTTTTATCTGCGTTGAACATTCTGGTCAAGTGATTCTCTAGATAGAGAATGTGAGGCTCAAAGAGATTAGGAAGCTTTTTTTTTTTTAGACATAGGAATTGGCAGAAATGAGATTTGAACTCATGGTAAAGCCCAGTACTCTTGCTTCTTTTTATGTCCTATTGGCGTGTGTTTTAATAATACAAACGGGAGTGAGCCTGTGGATAGAATGAGAATGGAATTAGCTGGTGAACCCAATGGAAGTAGATAAGAATGGAATGAGCAGGGGAAGTCCAAGTTTGAAGATAAACAACACTGGATTGGATAGGAGTACGGACTCTTCTACAAGAGATCAAAGTATTGGGGTTTATGACAAGTTTGATAAAGATAAATTATAAAAATGAAGGACACAAGATGTTGGCAATTATCTACAAAGGCACATTAAAATAGAAGGTTCAAGGGAGCTCTAAAAATTTTGCTGCTTTTTTTTTTTAAATCAAGGACTGACAAACTTGAAGATTTTTACTGAAAGATGCCAAAACATTTTGAGACACTGGGAAGAATGTCTACAGCAGATAGAAATGTGGTGTCATCTACTTCCATCCTGACTTACAAAGGGGTGGCTTAGAGCCCCTGGAGTACTAAGGGGCTGGAAATTGCTGAACTACATAGATGTGTGGCACAGGGCAGGTGTCTCCTCACCTCTGCCTCTTTTCACAGTTCACTGATGTCCTTCCCATGTCCAGGTGGGCTGGGTCAGGGGCATGATTAGCTGGCAAATCAGTCATGGAGTTCAGTTGGGTAGTTGGTAGTGTGTATAGCTGGTGGCAGGTGATGGAGACTCCAGTTAGCTTGTTTTTCAGGAGCAGGGATATAGAGAGCTCCTACTCCTGGTCATTTGAGGCCATTCTTTCAGGAATCTGTGCTTTCATACACTGAAGATTTGAAGATTGGAGACTTCTGTGGAACCCTGCAGAAGTAGAATCTGGAAGTGGGTGTCCATAGGAAGAAATATACTTAGATAGTACTTAGGGAAATAGAGGTACAACTATCATGACACTGTTTCTTTTCTCGCAGTCTCTCTCCTTGGGTGTCTGAGTGCCTATGAAAATTTTTAAGGGCTTGCTAGTTTATGTGGACCTGAATAAGGTAGGACCTATAGAGTGAAAATAATGGGATTTTATAATTGTTAATATTTTAATCTTTCTGGGAAAAGTATTCTCAATAAGAACATACACCTTTGCTATTTGACTTCTGTACATTTAGCTTTCATACATTTCAAATATTGTGGGGGCTTTCCTGTACCAATTTAGGGTAAAGGAAAGCAATAGGACCTTCCTAAGTTGGATCCAGGCTGAGGAATCAAGACTACCATTTTGAAGTGATGTAGATTAGTCTTTTATCCAGAGACAGATCACGGAAAAGAGACAGTGGATCTTTCTACCTTGTTTTAGGTCATCAGTTTTATTCCAGTTTAGGGAACAAAATTTATGTCATCCATTAATTGAATTTTAAGTTCAGCTTCAGGACAGATAATTTGTGAGGGCACATTATTGTCAGGCTCTGCCAATATATTGACTGTCACTATTTGTTATAAACCTCAAGGTTAGTTTTCATTGAATATTTTATAGATTTAGACAGGTGGAGGCAGAAATAGGTAACTAAAATCTATTTTTAGAACAGAGGACATATTTTAATTATATCAAGAATCATAATTTAATATATAGATCACTGACCTTTCCCCAGATTATGTTTTCCTTTTTTTGAGGGGGAAGCTGGATATAAACTGGCAGTTGAAAAAATTATAAAGAAATCAACTTGCTCATTTTCATTGTGTATTTTTGCTCTCAAGCATTTTGCATGAACTGTGTGTGGATTCATTGCCTACATTGGATGATGAAGACTTGAGTGTTGCTACTAAGGTAAAGTGGTCTCTTGTAAAATTAATCTTCTCACTCTGAGTGTAGTTTTGCATAGTATTTACTTTTCAAATTTAGCAGTGGTTTACCTATCATTGTTTTATGGTGTTAATGGAAAGCTGGTCAGAGAAAAACATACACATGGCTAGTTGATTCAAAAAATGTGTTTAACTTTGGTAACTAATAAAGATTGGTAAGTACTGTGACAGGGTGGGAGCTGAAAAATAAATGAACTGGAAAATAAGTAGTCACAGGAAAATCACATTAGGAAATGCTTTCTCCAATAGAGGAAATATGAAATTTGGTTAAACTTCATTTGGATAAATACTAATACTTTGACTTTTAAATCATACGAGTGTGACTTTCTTAATATTTATTCCTGTATAAATCTTCAGTGGATCAAATTGTTTGCAGTAATCATGGAATCCTCCTGGTAATTTTTAGTGGCAAAAATGTTCAGCACATAGCATATAGCTTTTGTTCTTGGAAACTTATCATTTTGGTGTCATATAGTTTTTAGGAGAGATTGTTTCTCTACTTATATTATTGGTTCTGTAGTGAGACTAAAAATGTATTAAAAATTGTAGAAAAATAGCTGAGTTTGGTGGTGTACACCTGTAGTCCCTGCTACTTGGGAGTTTGAGACAGTAAAATTGCTTGAACACAGGAGTTTGAGAACAGCCTGGGCAACATTGTATCTGATTTAAAAATATAAATTGTGGAAATGTAGAAATTTAAATTTATGTTCTCAAGATTTGTATTGCAAAGGGGTTTTTATGTGATTTATGAGTTGTCCATGAAGAGTTTATATAAAACACTTCATCTAATTGAATAACATGTATTTTCCTGAAAATAACCAGTTCTAGAAGCAGAGACTCTTAATACCAATATGGTAAGTCTTTATCATGATAATTTTGTCATTGTAGTTTATTTAAAATATTTACTTGGCCAGGCGTGGTGGCTCACACCTGCAATCCCAGCACTTTTGGAGGCCGAGGTGGGTAGATCACCTGAGGTCAGGAGTTCAAGATCAGCCTGGCCAACATGGTGAAACCCTGTCTCTAAAAAAAAAAAAAGCACAAAAATTATCCAGGCATGATAGTGCATGCCTGTAATCCCAGTTGCTCAGGAGACCAAGGCAGGAGAATCGCTTGAACCCAGGAGGCAAAGATTGCAGTGAGCCAAGATCGCACCATTGCACTGTAGGCTGGGTGACAGAGCAAGACTACATCTTAAAAAATAAAATAAAATAAAATAACCACTCAAAGTCCTTATATCATATTCTGAAAGTTTGAATGTCAGAAGGTTTTCTATTTAGTTTTTTAAATGATCATTGGAAGCTCCTGCATACCGTAAGCTACTGGAGGTCAGTAAACATATTTGTGTGTATCCTGGAGTACCTAGAATACAGTCTTCCATGTAAGAAGCATTTTACTTGTTGTTTTTTGAGATGGGGTTTCACTCTGTCACCCAGGCTGGAGGGCACTGGTGAGATCTTGGCTCACTCCGATCTCCATTTCCTAGGCTCAGGTGATCCTCACACCTCAGCCATCCAAGTAGTTGAAACAATAGAGCTATGTCACGATAGACTTGTGTCACCATGCTGGGCTGAGTTTTGTAGAGATAGGGTTTTGCCTAGTTGCCCAGGCTCTTCTTTAACTGTTGGGCTCAAGTGTTCTGCTCGCCTCAGCCTCTCAAAGTGCTGGGGTTACAGACATGAGACATTCAGCCTTAATAGCTGTTTAATCTGAATAAATAAACAAATGAATTTTTATATAATGGAATGTTATAAGTAATATAATAAACCTAATGTATCTAATCATTAAATATTGTATTTAAAATATTGCTTACATTGTATTATTTTTTAATATTTAAGGGTGTATAAGTTTTGACATGTTATGTTGAGAAATTATGCCATAATTAAAAAAGAAATAAAAGAGAAATAGGTCATCGGTAGCAAAGAGGGTTACAATATATTTTCTAGTATCATTCAACTGGAATCTTAACATTGAGATTTTAGATTAACATTTCTTAAGCTTTTTATTAGACCCAACTCATGTTCCATTAAATATACCGTTTCAAGCCATACATTACTCTTTATTATTGTTATTATACTTTAAGTTCTAGGGTACATGTGCACAACGTGCAGGTTTGTTAAATATGTATACATGTGCCATGTTGGTGTGCTGCACCCATTAACTCGTCATTTATATTAGGTATATCTCCTAATGCTATTCCTCCCCTCTCCCCCCACCCCATGACAGGCCCTGGTGTGTGATGTTCCCCATCCTGTGTCCAAGTGTTCTCATTGTTCAGTTCCCACCTATGAGTGAGAACATGCGGTGTTTGGTTTTCTGTCCTTGCAACAGTTTGCTCAGAATGATGGTTTCCAGCTTCATCCATGTCCCTACAAAGGACATGAACTCATCATTTTTTATGCTGCATAGTATTCCATGGTGTGTAAGTGCCACATTTTCTTAATCCAGTCTATCATTGATGGGCATATGGGTTGGTTCCAAGTCTTTGCTATTGTGAATAGTGCCACAATAAACATACATGTGCATGTGTCTTTATAGCAGCATGATTTATAATCCTTTGCATATATATCCAGTAATGGGATGGCTGGATCAAATGGTATTTCTAATTCTTGATCCTTGAGGAATCTCCACACTGTCTTCCACAATGGTTGAACTAGTTTACAGTCCCACCAACAGTGTAAAAGTGTTCCTATTTCTCCACATCCTCTCCAGCACCTGTTGTTTCCTGACTTTTTAATGATTGCCATTCTAACTGGTGTGAAATGATATCTCATAGTGGTTTCGATTTGCATTTCTCTGATGACCAGTGATGATGAGCATTTTTTCATGTGTCTGCCATACATTACTCTTTAGAATTCTGGTGATCAATTCTTTTTCTGGGTGGAAAGTTGATGGAAAGTTCCAGTTTTCTCTCTCTGTTATAATAATGTTCTTTCAGGTAATGGCAGATGACCATATTTAGCTAATTGAATGTCTTATAGTAAGAAACACTATCACAGAAGTACTTACAAAAAAGTAATTGCAGCATAAATATTAATTAGTATTATCAGAGTTATGAAAGACCGAAGGCTCTGTTATAGATCTATTTCCCCATGTACTTTATTGTACTTCATGTTTTTCATTTTCTTTCTTGGCTTAAGCTCATATTTCATTGACTAATTAGGTTTGTTTTTTGTTTGTATCTCTCTTTGTTCTCACATTTTAAATTGAAATTTTTGGGGAGGCAGGGTCTTGCTCTGTTGTCCATGCTGCAGTGTAGTTGCATGATCTTGGCTCACTGCTGTATCCACCTCTCAGGCTCAAGTGATCCTCCCACATCAGCTTCCCAAGCAGCTGGGACTACAGGCACACACCATCATGCCTGACTCCTTTTGGTATTTTTTGTGTAGAGATGTGTTCTCATTATGTTGCCCAGGCTGGTCTCCAACTCCTGAACTCAAGCAATCCACCCACCTTGGCCTTGCAAAGGGCTGAGATTACAGGTGTGAGCCACCATGCCTGGGCAACATTGAGATTGATTTAAAGAAATTGATTAGGGCTGGGTGTGGTGGTGCAAACTGCTTATCTCAACATTTTGGGAGGCAGAAGTGGAAGATTTGCTTGAGCCCAGGAGCTTGAGACCAGCCTGGGAGGTATAATGAGGCCTTGTCTCTACAAAGATAACAATAAAAACATTAGCATGACATGATGGTATGCACCTGTAGTTCCAGCTATTCAGGAAGTTGAGGTGGGAAGATTGCTTGAGGTCAGGAGTTTGAGACCACAGTGAGCCATAATCAGGCCCCTGCATTCTAGCCCTGGGTTGACAGAGTGAGACCCAGTTTCATAAAAAGAGATTGATAAGAAACTCTTGATGCAACTCATTATAATTTTAAATGGAAACTAATTCTTGATATTACCTTAGCAGTGTGTCCCCGAGAAAGTGTCAGAGCCTTTACGTGGACCTTCTCATGAAAAAGGAAACAGAATAGTCAATGGAAAAGGAAAAGGTGAGAACCGTATTTTATTTAAAAAGTCATTTGATGGAGGCCAGGCGCGGTGGCTCACGCCTGTAATTCCAGCACTTTGGGAGCCTGAGGTGGGCGGGTAATGAGGTCAGGAGATCAAGACCTTCCTGGCTAACATGGTGAAACCCCATCTCTACTAAAAACACAAAAAATTAGCCGGGCATGGTGGCGGGTGCCTGTAGTCCCAGCAACTCGGGAGGCTGAGGCAGGAGGATGGTGTGAACCTGGGAGGTGGAGCTTGCAGTGAGCGGAGATCGTGCCACTGCACTCCAGCCTGGGTGACAGAGTGAGACTCCATCTCAAAAAAAAAAAAAAGGCATTGATGGAATGTTTCTTTTAAAATATGAGCACTAATAGAGTTTAATAGCTAAAGAAAATGTCCTATTAACTGTATCATAAGTAAAAGAGAAATGAAATGGTGATAAGTGGTGTCTCTAACCAAGGGTCAGCAGTTGATTCTATTGGAAGTACCACTAAAGGAGCTGAGTTATGAGTTCCATTTTAACATACTCTTAAGACCTGAGGCAAGTCAGGAGAGAGGGAAGAGGAAATGAATAAAAGAGAAAGAAAGAATGAGGAGGGCAGAGTGTACATGGAATAAATAAAAAAAGTGGATGTATGTAATGGAGGGTAGTAAAGTCAAATTGATCTGTAGAAGAAGGAAGAACAGGGTGTTAGAAATAGGAAGGAAGATAAAGTGAGCTTCCAGTACCAAAATGTGTCATATAGTTACAGTAACATTTTCCTTCTCTTGCTGTCATTGTCGCTACTGGGGAGGCATTAAGGATTGAGGTACTTTACCATGCAGACCTGTGTTTTATCTACCATAGATGAACATCACCGTAAATGGTCAGCCATGTATGGCTATAATTTGTTTTTATAGAAAATGTTGTAACTTCATAGGATAGTATCATATTAACATAGTTGAAAATAATAGTGTTGGGTGATTTATTGGGAAGAAATTAATTAGAGAAGTTTTGCCTGATTAAAAGTTCATTAGAAACATTATGGCTTATAACGTAGTATTAAATTCAGGGACATAATAGGAAAGAAGTTGAGGCTAGGCCAAAAAGGCCAATTAGGATAAACCAATATGGAAGCACACCAGTGTAGAACAGGACATTCAAATTGTCATGAATTCGTTGAGGAGCTTCTGGAAAGTGCACATTCTGACTCAGCAGGTATTGGAGTCTGCATTTCTCATGAGCACTCAGGTGATGTTTGTGCTGGTCCTTGGACACAGCTCTGAATAGCAAGGGAATAGCCTTCCTTTAGAGAAATCTGGAAAAAGAACCACTGGAGAGCAATTTAAAAATTAACAGAATCCAGGGAAAGCTTTAATTTCCTTTTATTTCTGAGCATGATTCTAGCCACAGGGGAAGGAAAATGAGATGAAAAAAGAGAGATTACAGGTGTATACTACTGCTGAATACGGATGAAAAAAGTGGTCACAATCATCCATAAAAAGCAGTTAGGAAGGGAAGCATCAGGATGAGAGTTCTGATAATCATTTTTTCAAAGGAAGAGGGATGGTGAAAGGACACAAAAGGAGGAAAGAAAGACATTTGCTGGGGTCTTGGGAGTTAAAGCCAAGTAAACTTGAGACAACTCACTTCCAGTTGCTTCAGCATATGCCCAGTCTCACAAAAGAGGTTATTGCTGTGGAGAGTACTGGAGACAGGAGGGAGTGCTAGAGTTGGGGTAAACCACAGCAGCTCATTTCACTTGATAACTGTCAGGCCTCAGGGAGAGAAGTTTCACTGACATGAGTGAATAAGATATGATTAAGTTGCATATAGATGCTTTGGCGAAATTTTTTTGAGACAGCCAGTTCTTTGATATGATAGCTGTTTTATAAAAGTCCTTTACAGTGTAAGATAATATACCAAACTTAGTTAATTTTAGAAGTAATCATAAAATTCATTCCATGAAAACCAAAATTATCATTTTCAATAAATACTGCACTGATTTTGAAATATAAATATGTATTAATATCCAGCAAGTCTGTGGTCATTCAATGTTTTCTTTTTTGATAAATATTTTGATATCAGAAGCTTATTCGACATGGTTTATTTGATGTGTTTTATGGACCACCTTGCATGAGTGG
Source organism: Homo sapiens (assembly GCF_000001405.40). Classification (NCBI taxonomy): domain Eukaryota; kingdom Metazoa; phylum Chordata; class Mammalia; order Primates; family Hominidae; genus Homo; species Homo sapiens. The sequence continues at coordinate 192,326 of NT_113793.3, read as the reverse complement.
ATCAAGGAGCTCTAATTCAAGGCCAAGTGAGGGGATAGGAGAAATGTAGGTGCTGCAGTAGCCAGTAGCCCATGTGATCATGGGAAAAATGAGTAGTTTGATTAGCTGTTATTTCATAAGTGTGTATCCTAGCTGATCAATGTAGAACCCTTTCTTTGATGAGAGGTGAATCACACATTCACCTGAACTGTCATCCCAACTGCGTATTTCCTCAGTGACAAGACAAGGGGAATTTGTTTGTGCTGTGCTGGCAGCAGTGCCTCTGGTGTGTGGAGTTAAAATACTCTGTACATTCACCATCAGCTTTGACATTGATTCTCTCAGGTTTGATTTGTCCCTCTGTTTAATGGTCCCTTTTCTCCTCATCAGTCCACGTGTTCACGGTTATATCAATGCTTTTCTATTTTAAGTATAGGCATTTGAAACATAATCTCACTACTGAAATGTAAACTGTGCATTTTGGGAATCCTATATTCCTATTTTCCTCATTGTGTTTCTGTCATGTTGCTGTCCTAGGCAATGAAAATAAGAAGCCAAGAAGTAATTATTTTTATAGTCTTAAGTAATTATTTTTATAGCCAGGCCTGAGAATTCAGCTCGACAGTAACACTGCATGAATGTTTGGTTGGCCCTGTCATACTTACATATAATTGATGACATATCCCCTTTGCTTTGTAGGGCCTCCTGCAAAACATCCTTCCTTGAAGGTAATTAATTATGTATATTTTTGAATCACTAACTCCATGTTGTATAAAATATATGTGATTTATGAATCGTTTTCTTTTAAAACTCATTCAGCCTAGCACTGAAGTGGAAGATCCTGCTGTGAAAGGAGCAGTACAAAGAAAGAATGTATAGACATTGAGAGCAGGTACATTTAATAGAATACTGGAAATAAAGTACATTCAATGATTGGATGTACTCATATTATTCTTATTCCTAATTCTATTTGTTCAATATTGAACACAAGGCATTGACATAAATGTTATTGTTGGTATCTATATTTGAATAGAAACAAATTTAGAAGCATAAAAAAGATTTTAAAAATGTAAGCTTTAAGTCAGATGTTTCTGTTTTAATGTTTTGAATAGCATGAAGTTTTCAGTATAAAATTTTTATACTTGTCAGTGATTCAAAGCAGTGAATTTTGAGATTCTTAAGATATTTCCAGTGAGTTAAGTGCTAGTTGGAGTTCTGATCTTTACCTAGAGGAAAGCTTTACTTATTAAAGTGTTAGTTTCTGTTTTAACTTCAGAGGCTTGCTGCTAGTGTTATTACACTGATGATCTGAAGCCTATCAGATGTTCTAATGAGCAAGACTGTGTGTGTAGGTGTATATATAGATGTGTGTATGCGTGCGCTTGTGGCATCTTTGACTATTACAAATGACGAAAGTAATGATTCATTTATGACTGGTAGACACAGTCTTTTAAAATGGTGATTTTGAGCCTTTTTGGTGTTAAAGTTTTTAAAACATGATTGCATAGAGGCTACCAACATCATAAGTTGGTTGTTTTTCATTTCAATGTCCTTTTGAAATCTTTAACTACATTGTGATGCTCAGAAATAATATGCAGAATTTTTTGTGTCCTAAAGTGGTATGTGAGTGGTTATATACTTTATATACCTTTCTGCCACTTTCTTTGGTGTGTTTTGTATTATATTTTCCACTTGTACCCACATTGGTGTGATTATCTCTGGTTTAATTCATTTTACACTGTTCATTGTATTCCCTCATACCACTTTACCACATTTAGTTAGACTCTCCTGTTGCTGATAAATGAAGAAATAAAAAGAAAAATAATGTCAGATTAAGAGGGCTTTTCTTTAATCGGTTTGTATCTATTAGCATTTACTATATGAGAGTTTAAACCTGAAAAGTTCAGAATACAAGCATGCACCACCATATTTTATTAATGCCCTTAGAACTATGACTCATGAGCCTTTAGCCTATGAAGTTAGGACAATTCATTTCTCTGAAGAAGAATGCTGGGCTGTTCTCAGAAAAGAAAACTGAAAATAGCAAGTGATATTGTCTTATTTTACCTCTTGGACATCCTTGAATGAAACTGCTACTAAAGGGATACTTGGATCAAAATTCAGATCTAATGTTTTGAACAGTATACTTTGTGAATGTCCAGTGATCATGAGCCCTTGATGGGGAAATGACCTTTTGAGTTTCACTTTTGCATTTTTTGCTCTTTTCGTTGACTTGTCTTGAAAGCTTAAATTCGACTATTTTATTTTTACAGAAACCAGGAATATAACTTTTAAAATATATGTCTGTCCTGTCTCACGGTGTTGTGTACTCTTCAGATCTTGTATGAACATAGACTTATATGGGAACAATTAGGTTTTTTGTTTGTTTGTTTGTGTTTTTGAGACAGAGTCTTGCTCTGTCACCAAGGCTGGAGTGCAGTGGCTCAGTCTTGGCTCATTACCACCTCTGCCTCTCGGGTTCAAGCAATTCTCCTGCCTCAGTCCCTCGAGTAGCTGATACTACATGCACGTGCTACCATACCCTGCTAATTTTTCTATTTTTAGTAGAGATGGGGTTTCACCAGGTTGGCCAGGCTGCTCTTGAACTCCTGACCTCAGGTGATCTGCCCACCTCGGCTTGCCAATGTGCTGGGATTACAGGTGGGAGCCACTGTGCCAGCTACAAATAAGATTTTTAAGGCTATTATATTTTATACAATTCGTTGGTCTATGTGAATTCTGAAGGTATTCAGCATTGAGGGAAGATTATCTCAGTTTAATGAAAGCAGTTTTTAATTTAACGTATATTCATTAAACTTTTTTTTGAAGTTTTTGTCTCTAGTACACAGAAACACACAATAATGTCATGGGTATTTGACCTTAATGTGTTTATGCACAAACTTAGTTATTCAAATATTTTCTTATCCCTGAAGAATCTTAATTACTAATAAACAAATTTCTCATGGAAAACAACGTATATAACAGAGCTGGTTGAGTGATTGAAAGTAAACTGTAGTAAATACCAGAAGCTTAGAACAAGTTAAGTAAACTTGTCTGAGTTAATAGCAATTACAAGACTTTTAAAATACATTAGACCACGGGGGAGTAGTGCATTTGTGGGGTAGAGGACAACATGGTACTGCTTCAGTGAAGAAAGAACTTTTACACCTTATTACAATTTGTATTATTATTTACATTCTAATAAATAAAAACTTTATTTTCAGATATTTTACATCATGTTTCTACTAGTTGAACCATCAATAGTAAGACTTTTCAAAGATTTGGGAAGTTGTGAGTTGATGATAAATATCTGTATCACCATCAGTGATCAAAAATCAGACAGCAACTACCAGAGATTTTGGACACGCGAACTTCATAGTTAAAGAAAGGATTAATCTTGGAGCTGTGTTTCTATCAAGGAATTACACTCTTCATTACCTGTGTGAATCGCAGTTATTAGAGTAGAAAGAGAGCAAAGAAGGGAAAGAATCATAGAAAATTTTATTCTAGATTACCTCGTTTGGCTTCATGCTACCATATTTCTGACTTTTAAAAAGTCATTTTGTGGTCAAATGTACTTTGTGTTTACTCCCCTTACGCAGCCTACAACCAAACAGAATGGTTCTTAGCAAGGCATTTGTATTCTTCCCTTAAGGAAAGCAACATATAAATAACAAAGAGAATGAGAAGAAAGAGTGATTTCATTGAGGTTGGTATTTAACATAAATTTGAGTGCAGGTACCATGATTATATTTAGAATTTTGTGGCTGGATGTGAAAACCAGCTAGATGTCTATAGATTTCCTACTCAAACACAATGTGACTTTGTTTTACTTTTACATCTCTAATTTAGCAATTATTAGGTACAACTGTATGCAGTGTCACTAAAAATACCTCCCAAAGCCAAATATTAAATAATGTCTATGGCTTTCTGTTTTATAGGGTTGATTTTCCCAATATTAATGGGAACCACTGAGCATCTGCCTTGTGGTGTCTCCTCAGCTGTATTCACATATTCCATCACCTTTTCTTAATGGATAATCATGCACTATGAGTAAGGGTTTTCAGAAAAGCTGTGTCATTTAAAGATAACACAGGAGCATCAAATTTAATTCTGCTAGGACGCCTGGTCTACTGATTAACTGCAGCTAATATGAGGTCTACTTCACATCCAAGTTAAATTCAGTGCCCTTAATCAGTCATATGATGAGGTCAACAGTAATAAATTATGCAATATTTTTTCACCCACCCCTATAGTTTTAATTTCTTTTTCCCCTTATGTCTGTGTTTAACATTTTGCTTTGCAAAACATGATGATAATCTTCTAGAGTAGTGAGGAAAAGCTATAAATCCAAAGTTTCTTACCCATGCAAATGACTTGTTTGCTCTATTTTCTCATGAGATTGGTAGATCCAGGAAACAGAACTTTTAAAACAAAATCCCCATATGTTGCTGGGTGCGGTGGCTAGTGCCTATAATCCCAGCACTTTGGGAGGCTGAGGCGGGCAGATAACCTGAGGTTGAGAGTTTGAGACCAGACTGACCAACATGGAGAAACCCATCTCTACTAAAAACACAAAATTAGCTGTTCATGGTGGCACATGCCTGTAATTCCAGCTACTTGGGAGGCTGAGGCAGGAGAATCGCTTGAACCCAGGAGGCAGAGGTTGCCATGAGCTGAGATCACACCACTGCACTTCAGACTGGGCAGGAAGAGTGAAATTCCATCTCAAAAAACAAAAACAACCACAACCACAACCACAACAACCACCACAAAACACAAATGCATTTCCTTGGCACAGTAAAACTGAAACAGAAAAAGGGTAAAGTAAATACAAGTAACTGAAAGAGTTTATGTATATTATTTTACTTCTCATTTGATAAAATTTGTAAAGTAATGAGCAGAGTGTATTTCTCCAGGGACCCAGATATATACATGTATTTATTCAATAGAAATTCATTCTTATAATGGCCACTGATACCTATATCCTAAATATTTCTGAAAACATCTCCTCAGGCCTGCATCATCTTTGCAACATTGCCTTATATTTTATCTTTGTTCATTGATTTATATGCCTCAGAATTTTATGCTCCTCACAGTATTTAGAGTGAATTATCCCTAATGCAAATAGATCCGTGAACCACTCCTGAATACCTAATGTCCAAGCATCTTAAAGGTTTATATAAGGATTTCAGAAACTGACTTCTGGGTTGGGCACGGTGGCTCATGTCTGTGATCCCAGCAATTTGGGAGGCTGAGGCAAGTGGATCATTTGAGGTCAGGAGTTCAAGACCAGCCTGGCCGACAAGGTGAAACCCCATCTCTAATAAAATACAAAAATTAGCAGGTGGTAGTGGCACGCGCCTGTAATTTCAGCCACTCAGGAGGCTGAGGCAGGAGAATTACTTGAACCTGGGAGGCCGGGTTGCAGTGAGCTGAGATCATGCCACTGCCCTCCAGTCTGGGAGACAGAGTATAACCTTGTCCCAAAAAAGAAAAGAAAAGGAAACTGATTTCTGCCCAAATCTCCATCTGTATCCCTTTCCCCATCTGCCTTTTTCTCTGGAATTACTGAGCTGCTGGTAATGGCCCCCTCACCATTCCTCTTCTGCAGAGAAATACATACTCTCTTGGAGGCTTCTCTTCCTCTCTTGTTGCTGCCTGGCATGTGCTCACCCTTTCCTGCCCTCTGCCTCGCTTAATCTGGCTAACCTCACTCTCTAAGTCTCAGCTCATGGATGATCTTTAGGAAAGCCATCCCTGACAGCTTCTATTTTCCTTCCTTATTCCCCAGTGCCTAACACTTAGCAGGAACTCAATAAGTAATTATTTAGCAAAATTAAGACTGTTTATACAAAGATGATTCAAAAGATTGTCCTCTACAGTCTAGCAGCAAAGGGGGTCAACATGTAAAGACATGATGTGCAGGTCAGGTGGTAAAGAGACACTAGAAAAATTGACAAGGTACTAAGGGACCCCAACGAAGCAGACACCTGTGTGTGTGGAGAAAGATAGCTAGAATCAAGGAAGATTTCACATAGCATTCTGAGCCTTTATTTTTTCCTCTTTTTGGAGACAAGTTCTTACTCTATCACCCAGGATTGGAGTACAATGGCACGATTGAGACTCACTGAAATCTCAGACTCCTAGGCTCGAGGGATCTTCTCATCTAAGCTTCTTGAGTAGCGGGGACAACAGGAACATATCACCATACCTGTCTAATTTTTTGTAGAGTCAAGGTTACCTATGGTTCCCAGGCTGGTCTTAAACTCTTGGCCTTGAGCAATTCTCCCATTTTGGCCTTCCAAAGTGCTGAGATTACAGATGTGAGCTATTATGCCCAGCCTACTTTCTGAGTTTTAAAAGATGAAAATAAATTTTTCAGAATAGCAGGGGAAAACATTTGTGATGTAAAAAATGGGGTGCACACTAATTGAGGTATAAAGAACAATAATTTTGCAAATTATTAGTAACTGCCAACTCAATTAGAGTCTTGTTAAAAAGATACTGTTATGAAGTATAGTAAAGCATTACATTGTATATTTTGACTGTATTTCAAATTTCTGTTTTGTTTCCAACAGTTTTGTTGACTTATGTTGGGTGGAACAATTTGTGAGTGACCCTGAGATTTTGCATGGCTTGAATCTGGTGATATCTGGTGTCTCCCCAAGTGTTTTGTTGAAGTTTTGGATAATTAGAAGTATTTCTTACAGAAGTAAATATTTCAGTAAACATTGTTTCATTCAAACTCTCAAAATATAAAATACAAAGAAATGTTATTCTCTATTTATTTTTATAAAGATTATAGTCTTTATCTAACTCTTCTTAGTTCATTTGAACTAAATCAATGAATTTGTCAACAGAACAAACCTTACCAGTGGCTTAGAGGAAGAGCAAGAAAGGTGTGAAAGAAGTGAAAAGAAGCAATCACAGGTATATGAAAATTTAAGTTCTTGTTTAATATTAGTTTTTTTTTTGCTTTACTAACAAAGCATAGTACAAATGACATGACCTTTCAGACTATACCTTTAGAATCCAATAGATCATAATTTTATATTTAATTTTTAAAACATCTTAACCAGTTATGAAACTTAAGTTATTCTTACTATCTCTAGTAACTATTAGTTATTCTAGTAATTCTTAGTATCTCTAGTAACTCATAGCTGTCTTTACCCTTGGAATTGAGGCAAGAAATTTTCAGAATTATCTTGCTGTTTTATTTATATAACCTTACTCATAATACACAAGGTAACATGAAGTATTGGGTCATATTACTGAGGAATAGAAATTATGAACAGTTTAACAACAATGGCCACTGAGTTAAACTAGTGTTAAAGGAGTCATCATTGCCAGTGCTTCAAATGTTGCAGTTTTATATTGCTGGTCACCAGTGCCGAGGTTAAAGATTTATTCTGTTTTATGGTCACCAGTTGACTTCTGTGTCTGTGTTCAGGGAGTGAATGGGGTCATAAAAGTCAATGCAGTTGCCTATTAAGAGAATCCTACCTTGCAGAATGGGACCTTTGGTGTCAGGGTGTGAACAATAACTTTATTTCAACATAAATACATAGTAAGCATTACTAAAATTTAAAAAATCCAAACCCTATCACTACCGGAACTTAAAATATATTAGAAGTGGATATAAGCAGAAATTCTATCTAGATACATAACACTATCATAGTATAACATTTGAATTAGAATTTAAAATTTTGCTTCTCTTTCTTACTGGTGTTCAGTTTAGCTCTTAATAATTTAGTGTTTGCCTAGTGCTCTAGTTAATCTTCAGAAATAAACATGCACTGTAGGGGCTCACTCTTTCTGGTATGCTGAGGTAAAGTCTTTGTAAGAGAGGAAGCTTTTATAATACTACCTATCATCTTTGAATTCATTTCTGGTAGATTTTACACAAATGCATTAAGTTTAGTCCAAACAGACACTGAGAGTTCAGATTGCTGGTTCATGTTTCTGTCCTATGTTAAGCCAAGGCAAATTATTTTTCACTTTTTAGTTACAATCCCATAATTTAAGAGTAGCAACACATAGATTAAGTTTCACAGTTAAATTTTAATTATTTTCTAATATTTCTTTGTTTATACTTGATTAAAGCTAATTTTACAACATGCACTCTGACAGAAAAGACATCTGAGAAACAAAACAAGCAAATTTGTTTTCCATTTTGCACCTGCCCCCCACCAAAAAAAGTCTCAAGAACCAGAACTGGGTAAGAACAGTGATAAAGGGAATCAATCTATATATTCATGACTTTCTTTAAAATTCATTACAAACAAGTTCAAGCTGAATATTGGTAAAAGTTCTGAAAACTCCAAAATTACTGCTTGCCCTGAGGAAGAGCTCCTACATGGTAACTCTAAAGAGGGATGAACAAAAAAGGAGTGCCCTCTAGTCTGATGAATCATGTCCCTGATTGTGAGGAGAAAAATGTATCTGGAGGGTCTAGCTCTGTGGCAGTCCAGGCAGCGCCTGAACAGAGGAAGCCCATGTCAAATATCTTTTTATTCCATTCACACTCCAGGTCCCTGAAATACACTTACCAGTCATCTTCTAAGCTTCATTTAAATTAAAATAAATCAGACTATAAAAATGATAACAAACCAGACACACAGCTTGTTTCTAACACAGATGATGGAAATTTTTGTTATGATATAGAAACTGAAAAAGTAAGGAACCCAGTAATTATGATTGAAATGAAAGATGATTAAGAGTTTGACATGCAAATGGAAAAATATATAAACCCAAATACCACTAATTGGAAATTAGGCATTGGTCTCAGTCTAGAGATCCAGAAAGTCTTTTTGATTTGTGGTTTACCCACCCCAAAGAAATGAAGCATATGATTCAGATAGAAAGTCACAGTATTTCTGCTGCTACAGATACTTATAAAAACAGAAAACCAACACAGTGCTTATTCCAGAAGCCGCTGTATGACAATCCCAGTGTTAATAACTACAAAACCATGAATCTTGAATTATAAAATGCGGGTTATTCTTTGCCACATAGTGAGAGAACATCAAAAATATAGCTAGAAGACTTACAGCAAGATATTCCAAGGTCACTAACATAGCACATGTATACATATGTAACAAACCTGCACATTGTGCACATGTAACAGAACTTAAAGTATAATAATAGTAAAAAGAATGAGGTAGGCATGTTACAAGTAGAGTTCCTGGCTTTGGAGAAAGAGAAAGTCCAACTTCAAAAAGACAGAGGTTCACTTGCTGCTTCTTTTTTCTCTTTATCAATTATTTGATTTAGTCAAATTTTCTATTCAAGAAAATCTCATGTGTACAGTTACAGCGGGGTTTTCTAAATGTGTAATCATGTGTCAAAGTAGATTAGTCCTGCTATCTAAACAACGGTTCTGGAGAATGTTCTCATAATGTTTCTTCATTAATCAACCTAAGTCTCACTCTCAGTCTTCCAAGTGGCATATGAGCTGGGAAACTAATTCAGCCATATACCATGTGACCTTCTGAACCAGATCAACATAAAGAAATTGCTAAAGAAATAAGCTTTACATTCTAGATTCTTTTTTTCTGTATTCATTTAGAGATGAATTACATTTATTTAATGATAGAATGGGAATACAATGGGAGGGAAGCAATGACTGAGATGAGCCACAAAAACACGTCTAGCCTTGAGAGTTGCAATGAATATTCCCAGCCAAATGAGTCTGTTTAATGTGTTTTCATGCACGCCAGTTTATCTGCTTAGCTCAAACTGTTTGAATTTATAGTTCCATCATGGTTATTTCCAATATTTTGAAAACAAATATATACTTCCACATATTTTAAAAAATCACCACTCCAATATTTCTGTTGAATCAGACCTTACATTATGTTGTTTAATAAAGTATGGTAAGTTTTGGCATGTATGATTTTTATCATGTAAGAAAGAAGCATAATTTCTTAGCTAAAAATTTAGCCTTTGACTCTTTAGTAGAAAGTTGAGTTCTGTACATTGTGTTCTAAAGATAGACAAAAATCTAGAGATTTTCTTCTTTCAAAGTAAAAGCAGATGAGGCCTTTTTCCACGCCTTTTTCCACCCTCTGAGGTGTTAAATTGCTTTGCTCAAGTTAGACTTTTAATATATCTGACTAATTTGATAAATTTATCTGGTAATTTATGTAATTGAGCAATATGGAATTGTATCATGTTATTTGGTGCCATGAAATGCTAGGGAATGCCACCTCAAGAGCTCTGGATGAAACATTTCATATGTCTTGGTTGGTTTGACTCCCATTTTCAGTAGATAATGGGGCTAAAGTAGTTAGCTGTACCATATGTTTTCCACCTATAAACGTTTGTGGTAATTGAATGTGAAATCTGGGAAGCATCTCGTTTTCCAGAATTCTGCATTAGAAACTCAGCAGTTTCACTCTGCTTCTTGTGTTGTGGCAAACATTGGTTCCCATAGTTCAGGGAGAACTTTCACTTTTTTGATATCCCAGGATCCAAAAAAAAAAAAAAAAAAAGAGATAAAAGGCAGTGGGGAAAAGAATAGCTCAGTGCAGAAAAGGGAAAACTTCTTTACTCTTCCTGAAGGCCTACAAGGTCACATCCTCTTAATCTGGCTATTTCATGTAAAATCCAGGTGGCAATGACAGAAGATATATGTTATGCCTGTGTCTTTTTATTTCTCTGTTTCTGCCAGTCAGATAGCATAAACATTTATATCAGATAGCAAAGAGTGGATGCGAATAAAAGCACAAAATGGAGAAGAGTCCTTTTTGAAATTTTGGAAAATTATTCCATTCACTCAAACAGAAATGAGCAGACTTGACAAAAATTTCAATGATAAAATGATAAGTGTCTTATAATTATTATGTATAATGATAAAATTAAAGTAAGCACAAAATACTTTTATCATTAAAATGGTGATAGTTAACCTGAATCAAGTGAAAAAATCAGGGAAAAAGTTTTTTTATTGAATAAAATAATAATTATTATTCATATTACTTTTATTAAAGGTCAAAGAAGGAAATAATACAAACAAAAGTGAAAAAATACAACTATCAGAAAATGTATGTCATAGTACATCTTCTGCTGCTGCTGACAGATTAACCAAACAAAGAAAGGTTGGGAAAACGTATCCTCAGCAATTTCCCAAGAAACTGAAGGAAGAGCATGATAGGTAAGTAAGCCTATAGCAGTGTGTTTTTGTTTGTTTGTTTGTTTGTTTGTTTTTCTGAGATGGAGTTTCTCTCTTGTTGCCCAAGCTGGAGTGCAATGGTGTGTTCTCAGCTCACTGCAACCTATGCATACTGGGTTCAAGTGATTCTCCTGACTCAGCCTCCCTAGTAGCTGAGATTACAGACATGTGCGACCATGCCCAACTAATTTTTTGTATTTTTAGTAGAAATGAGGTTTCACCATGTTATCCAGGCTTGTCTCGAACTCCTGACCTCAGGTGTTCTGCCCACCTCGGCCTCCCAAAGTGCTGGGTTTACAGGAGTGAGCCACCGTGCCTGGCCACCTACAGCAGTATTTCTCAGCAGATAATTGTCATTGTGCTATAAACTAATTCAAAATTGGACTAATGTTCCTTATGATTAACAAGTTTTATAGTTTTACCAGGGATATTTAGCCCTGTCTGGTAATCAGAAAAATACAAATTAACATAAAATAAGATATATTTTGTAAAGTCATGCTGATATTGAAAAAGTAATTACTACCATTGAAAATGTGAGGAAAAAGGCATTCTCATACACTGTTGGTATATGAAATTGGTAAATTATTTCTGAATGGTAACTTAGTGCTGTGTATCAAAATTTCAAATAACCTGACATCCCTTTAACTCAACAACTCCACTTCTGGGACTAGATTTCACAGGAAAACATAACTTGTGTAAACATACACACACTTATTAAGGGCATTAATTATATATTACACATAATGAACAATAGCTTAATAAATATATAAAATATATGTAATAAGAAGGTGAATTGGAAGTATTAAGAAAGAATTATAAAAAGTGTGGGGTAACAGATGTTATACTCTTTAGCCTAGTTTTAGATGACAATCATCTGCAGATATAGTTTGTGTGAGACACATCTTACTCTGTAAATCATTTGGAGAGACACCTACAATATTTCATAGAGATGAAAATTTATTTCTAGTGAACTTATACGCTTGTCAATAAATAGTAACTTTAAAAATTCAGTTGATTGTAAATGACCTTTTCTAATCGGGGAGTAATTATGACTGTGTGATTTGAAAAGGTAATTTTGAACTTCTAACTATACTGAATTATTTCCAGTATCCTTTTTTATAATACATACTAGAGTGACTAGTAACAAAAACTTTAGCAGAATATTCTTTCCTTACTACTTTTCAAGTATATACATTCGTTTGAAGATGTTGAAGTGAGAAATTAAATATCTGAGAACTACAAAGGAAAAATAATCCAGAACATAGAAATTTTATTAGGATGATAAAGAGCATCTGCAGAGGTAGATCACAGGATGATCTCTTTGTTTTTTAACAAAATGAATTTTAAGATAAATGTCTTTATCTGCAGATGCATCTTAAGACAAGAAAGTGAAGAAAAAACAAATGTTAATATGCTGTACAAAAAAATAGAGAAGAATTAGAAAGGAAAGAGAAACAATATAAGAAAGAAGTTGAAGCAAAACAACTTGAACCAACTGTTCAATCACTAGAGATGAAACTGAAGACTACAAGAAATACTCCAAATCAGATAAATCAATCTTTGTTAAAAATTCTATATTTTAAACTTTATTTTATCAATGTTACTTATAATATCCTCTTGATTTAATATATAATATTTTGGTATAAAACAAACCAGAAATGTTATCTCATTTTCAAAAAATGAATGATGACACTTACAGGTACAATTATTAATATTTATTATAAATCTTGGCATCCACATAGGATATTATTTTATTACAAAGAGCTTTTGAAAACAATAATATGCCATAATATATACTTAGTGATAACCTATTGATAAAGATTTTTTTCCCAGTAAAATTGTTCCTTGTACTTCCCGCTATTTCATATTGATTACTGTACCTAATACTATAAAGAGGAAACAAATTATTGCAATCACAAATAATCTCATGATATTCTAAGAAGAGCTCTATAAATTTTATCTTATTTACCATTGGTGTTTTGAAATAAAAGTTTTCTTTCGTATTGATACATTTACACCACAGAAGTAACTGTGATCTGTCAGAGAACTAGAAGTAGAGTCAGAAGTCCTGGGGAAAATCCTGTATCTTGCTTATATTTTTAACATTTCTTTTTCAAAATTCTGGTAACTAGATGAGTTCATCAATGAATGTATATAGGAGTGACTAGTATAATGTCTAGATTTATGATTTAGTAAATGTAATTCTTACAACTGACTATAAAAGTGTTAAAAGAGTCAAATTGAAATAGAATGTTATCAGTGAAATAGAACTGTAGTAACTCTGGGAAATTTTATCTGTCCAAATACATGTGAAGTAAAGTTCTTACTATAGGGTGGTGTAAGGGTTAGATATCAAAGTGTAAATGCAATTTTTTGATATATTTTAATTTAGTCAAATTTGTTAATGCTTTAATTTATGCTTTTGAGTTTGTTGTAATTCAGGGAAATGCTTTTCTAATTCTGAAATTCTTAAAAATTCTCTGGTGTGCGTGTGTGTGTGTGTGTGTTTACTTTTATAAATTCATTGACTTTAAATAAATTTCTGAACTTTTTGGAACTTATGCTCTATAAGGTTCAAAGTTTTGCTTCAACTTTTTCTCCAGTTGGATATCCACTTACAGTAACCTTTTTAGTATATGGATGTGCAGGTTACTCTTTAACTTCGGAGGTAATCATGATATGTTATTTTATTGCATACTAGCTAAAACTTTCTTTTGTTTTATTTAGGATTTTCATAATCAGGAAGAAATGAAAGATCTGATGGATGAAAATTGCATTTTGAAGACAGATATTGCTATACTCAGACAGGAAATATGCACAATGAAAAATGACAATGTGGAAAAAGAAAATAAATATCTTAAGGACGTTAAAATTGTTAAAAAAACAAATGCTGCCCTTGAAAAGTATATAAAACTCAATGAGGAATTGATAACAAAAACAGCATTCCGGTATCAACAAGAGCTTAATGATCTCAAAGCTGAGAATACAAGGCTCAATTCCGAACTGTTGAAGGAAGAAGAAAGCAACAAAAGACTGGAAGCTGAAATTGAATCATCAGTCTAGACTGACTGCTGCTATAAGTAAACACAGTGAAAGTGTGAAAACAGAAAGAAACCTAAAACTTGCATTAGAGTGAACACAAGACGTTTCCGTACAAGTAAAAATGAGTTCTGATATTTCCGAAGTAGAAGATAAGAATGAGTTTCTTACTGAACAACTTTCTAAAATGCAAATTAAACTCAATACCTTAAAAGATAAGTTCCGTAAGAAAAGAGATACTCTCAGAAAAAAGTCATCGGCTTTAGAAACTCTCCAAACGACCTAAGCCAAACACAGCAGCAAATAAAGGAAATGAAAGAGATGTATGAAAATGCAGAAGATAAAGTGAATAATTCCACTGGAAAGTGGAGCTGTGTAGAAGAGAGGATATGTCATCTCCAACATGAAAATCCGTGCATTGAACAGCAACTAGATGATGTTCATCAGAAAGAGGATCATAAAGAGATAGTAACTAATATCCAAAGAGGCTTTATTGAGAGTGGAAAGAAAGACCTCATGCTAGAAGAGAAAAATAAGAAGCTAATGAATGAATGTGATCATTTAAAAGAAAGTCTCTTTCAATATGAGAGAGAGAAAGCAGAAAGAGTAGTAAGTATCAAGGAAGATAAATATTTTCAAACTTTTAGAAAGAAAATTTAAACATTTGGTTCTGGATACATGTTGAACTTAGTTGAATATAAAAATCAATGGATAAAAAGTGTGTTTACCATACTGTATAATTCCATTTACATGAAGCATCCAGAAAAGATAAACGTATAGGGACAAAAAGTAGACTAATGTTTGCAAAGGGCTGGGGCTGAAAGCTGGTAGTGACTGCTAATGGGAGTGAGGGATCTTGCAGTGATGGAAATGCTGTAAAGTTGGATTGTAGAGATGGCTGCACAACTCAGTAAATGGACTAAAAAATCTTTTAACTTTAAGTTAAAACAGATACATTCTATAGTATGTAAATTATATTTGAACAAAGCTGTTTTAATAAAAAAAAGGAAAACCGTGTTTACTATACCAGCTTAGAAACGTGCCTCATTTCTAGGAAATAAAAGGTAGAGGTGAGAGATGATTTACTTTGAGAAAAGACATTGTGTCACCTATGAAATTTTATTAGGGACAGAGTCATATTTTAAGGTAGATAGTTCTGTGCTGCTGAAATAATAATTTTAATGACTTTATGTTGCCACATGTTAAGACCATAATGTAAGTATAAATGGAAATGTTTACACCTGAAATGAGTATTTTCAAATTAAAATTTAATTGATTTTCTTTAACACTTAATTCTAGATTTCCCAGATGAACTGAAGTGTATTGCTGTGTCTTGTGATACCTTGCTTTAAGTAGCTTTTTATGTATTTTAGTTGGTATATCTTTGTTATTAATCATATTAATTTAACAAATCTGAAAATATGTCAAATTACATATTTTTATGACTATGTAATGTTTCAAAGGCACCTACTTGTTATAAAATCATAATTTAGGATACATGTGGTAATATTTAGCAAAACTATATTTGGTTTAGTCTTCCCACTGGTATTTATAGTTTACTTTGAATATTTATATTAATAATTAGCTCCTAATTTTTATTTCAAGGCTCAATGACTATCATTGGAATATAATTTTGTTCAGTACAAAGATACTTGTAGCTGCCTGTGATTTATGAGTAAGGCATTAGATCCCTATTTTCAGACTGAGGGGTGGCAGGCTTCACGTACAGTGGGAATGGAGTAATTACAGGAGGGAGTTGAAGGAGCTTTGAAGTCAGAGAGAGAGGTAGAGACCTGTTTACCTAGGACCTCAAAGGCCATGGGAATTTTACCTTTATTCTGAGATAGGAATCTGTTGGAAGGATTTGAACAGGTGATTGAATATGTCAGGAACTTTGAGGTTGAGTTGAGCTTCTAAGATGATTGAATGGTGGGATGAATCTGTTATGTAGGTAAGAGAAAACCAACTTGGCAGGAAGAGAACATATTGTGCATCCCTCACTGAATTCAGTAATAAATAAAAATGTGTACATGTGATTAAAAGAAGGTGAATTGATATGTGTGGTGATAATTTTCAAAGTAGGTATGTTAGAGTTAAATATTATTAACATAATTTAATAATAAGGCAATTTATAAAATCAGTAACAAAAATATTTTCTCAGGTGGTTGTGAGACAACTTCAACAAGAAGCGGCTGACAGCCTAAAAAAATTAACTATGTTAGAGTCTCCACTGGAAGGCATATCACATTATCACATTAATTTGGATGAGACACAGGTCCCAAAAAAGAAATTATTTCAAGTGGAAAGTCAAGTATGTATGGAACTTAGCATGTCAACTGTTATTCTGTAGCTAGTTGAATTACATAACATGTTTTAGGATACTAATTATGGCAGAAGCTTGATTTTTTATTTTCATTACAATGAATTATTTCCATTTTACTATCTCTATAATGTACTTATTTTTTTATATAGTGACTTTCATTCTACCATTTTGAAAAACCATTGCATATCTTTTCTCTTACAATATGTACCCTTGGAAAAGTTGAGAATTATACATCATTCCTCATAGAAAACTGACTTTTGTCCTGTTAAAACAGTATTTTTAAGTAATTTTTGTATTGCTCTGATGAGGCGGGCCAGATTAAATCAGAGAAGAATGTTTCATGGAATGTTCCAGAAAATTGTCTTATTTCTTCACTTTTGTGAGTGGACACAGAATCTGTGTCTATTTATTTCACAGATTCTAGGTTAACTTGTACAGAAAGGCCATTATACTATTCTTTTAAAAGTGCATGTTTTAGGTTAATTTACAAACTATTTGAAAAGTTAGGCATTTTCTTTATCTTTTATTTAAAATATACTATAAAACTGTGGAAATAATTAAATTTGAGATAACATGTACATCAAAAATTGAGAGTTGAGAAAATTATCTTGATCCTGCCTTTGGATTTTAAAAACAGTTTCACTGAGATATCATTCACATTTGAGAGAGTTCAACCATTTAAAATGTACAACTGAGTATCTATTAGTATATTCACAGCATTTTCATCACCCTGAAAAGCAACCCCACATCTCCTAGGCATGACTGCAGCCTTCCTCCATGTCCCTCCACCTACCTCTGTTGTAGGCAACCACCATCTATCTACTTTTGTCTCCATATGTTTGCCTGTTCTGCTTATTTCATATACATAGAGTTATACAATACATAGTCCTCTGTGACTGGCTTTTTCACTTAGCATAATGTTTTCAGAATTCACTTAGCATAATGTTTTAGCACACATTGGTAGTTTATTTCTTCTTATAGTTAAATGATGTTCTATTCCATGGCTATACTGGTTTTCCATTCATTCATCAGTTGATGGACCTTTAAGTTAGTTTCCACTTTTTAGCTCTTATGAAAAATGCTGCTGTGAACATTCACTTACAGGTTATTATGTGGACATGGGTTTTTATTTCTCTGCCATTGGACCTTATCCTCAGAGTTAATTGGGCAGATTTCAGCACTTATCTTGCTCATGCTATTCTTTCTACCTTCTCAGTTTCTGTTCATCTAGCCTCATTCACTCAGACGTGGCAGACAATTTATTGTTTTCATGAAGCTTTCTCTGACTGTTCTCTCATTGACCTTATGTGTTAGCAATCATTGTCTAGTCTGTGCAGAAAAACTTAGTTCTTAATTTTACATGGCTTTTTTATGGAAGATAATTTTCTCTCATTATAAATTTGCTTAATGGGGGAATAATATATAATATGTATGCCACCTATCCTTGCATACATTGAAAATATTTTAGCTTAGAAGTTTGTAGCATACAATTCAATACTTTATACCATACCAATTATTTCTTCTTTGAGACCTTGACACAGTAAGGTTTATATTCTAAGTGTGTTTTTAGCAATTAAATATTAAATCTAAACCAATTAGTCTAATACAGGAGACTTGTTAAATCACATGTTTATGTTTTTCTCTCTATGAAAAAGAATCTAAATTGGCCTTTTTTCACTATGCAGCAGAACTGTATTTCTGGACTGCTCCCAGTTTGTCAGCTGAACAGTTCTGGGTGCAGCTTGTCCGATGATGGATAGCACAGCCCCTCAATCTGAGTGCTCAGCAGAGTGCTTGTGAAGGCAGCACCACAGCAACAGTTGCTCAGAGGGAACGGATTCAGGAGCCTTGATTTAGCAATAGAGTCCAGGGTTTTCAGCTCAGTGTCTTTAGCCTGTCTCTGCTGGTCATGTCAGTTATGTACTATTCAATCCAGGAGGTGCTGTTTACATTGTAGTACATACATAGTCATTGCCTAATGAGTCATACAGAGAGAAAAGTAAGTTATAAATTATGTCCCCCATTTGCTGCAACTCTCAGTGGTAAGAATGATTCAGTGCAGCTATAGGAGAGTACTTCCATTGGCATGCCACCTGCCTAAAATACACAATTTTGTTAAGATATACAATAAAATTATTATGCTAATAGCAAATATTTTATGTAGCTCACTGTGTTCCACGTAGTCTTCTAAGTGTTTCATGTTAGTCCCCAGTTAAACACCTGGTTTTGGAAGGCTGAAGCAGGAGGATCGTTTGAGCCCATGAGTTTGAGACCAGCCAGAGCAATATAGTGAGACCCTGTCTCAAAAAAAAAAAAAAAAAAAAAAAAAAAATTAAACACTTATCTGAGGCATGGTGGTGCACGCCTGTAGTCCCAGCTACATTGGGAGGCTGTGGTAGGAGGGTCGTTTGAGCTTGGAATATTGAGGCTGTAGTGAACAGTGATCAAGCCACTGCACTCCAGGCTGGGTAACAGAGGGAGACTCTGTCTCATAAATAAAAAGTTTTGTATAGATTCCCATAGAAGTGAGTTAGACATCAGTCATAGAATTATTAGCCACTTTGATGTCTACCTTGGGAGTAAAACATATAATGGGCAGCGTTAAACCATCTCAATCAATAGCCTCCAACTTCTCGAGAAGGTTCTTATTTCATGAATTTCTAAACAAGCGATTACCTGGATTAAGACATTTGGTGGACACCATTTTGAGATGAAGAATCTTGAGTGAGAAGAAGGGAGATCTCTACTTACTGAAGCTTCCCAATGACATAGTTAAGTGTCCCCCAAAAGAAACTTTAGAACAAGACTTTCATCATGCCATATCTCTACGGAAAAGGAATTTCTTTAAAAGAAAACAAAGGCAAACAATTGATAATATGATTCTCATGGGAAAGTTTTCATCATAAAAGAAAAAGAGGGCTGGGTGCCATGGTTCACGTCTGTAATCCCAACACTTTGGGAGGCTGAGGTGCGTGGATTACCTGAGGTCAGCAGTTCAAAAACAGCCTGGCCAACATGGTGAAACCCTGTCTCTACTGAAAATAGAAAAATTAGCCAGGTGTGGTGGTGTGCACCTGTAGTCCCAGCTACTTGGGATGCCGAGGTAGGAGAATCACTTGAACCCAGGAGGTGGAAGTTGCAGTAAGCCGAGATGGTGCCACTGCACTCCAGCCTGGATGACACAGTGTGACTCCATCTCAAAAAAAAGAAAAAAAGAAAAACAAAAAAGGGACAAAGTATACTGGTCCAAAAAAGAAGAAAGCAAGAAAAAAAGGACAAAGTATACTGGTTAGTATCATAACAGTGAGATAGTACCCCTTTGAGATTAGAAAATAACAGTATACTCAAAGTAACATTAATGAGAACCAACATAAAATAGACAACATTCACTATATCTACAAAAGTAATCTGCACCAATTAGCAATGTATGAGCATGTGGTTGAGAATATTTTCTATAATATGTGTACTAGAAGGAAGAGACCTCAAGAAAATGGTCAGAGCTGGAAATGTAGATTAGGGAATCTAGGTCAAAGTTTTGAGATTTTAGGAGTCCTGAGAGAATTTAAAAAGAGAAATAGCCACCAGGCATGGTGGCCACACCTGTAATCCCAGCACTTTGGGAGGCCAAGGCAGGAAGATCATGAGGTCAGGAGTTCAAGACCAGTCTGGCCAACAAGTTTCTTATATAGGTAAACGTGTTCCATGATGGTTTGCTGCACCTATCAATCCATCACCTAGATATTAAGCCCTGTGGGCATTAGTTATTGATCTTGATGCTCTCCCTCCTGACCCCAACAGGCCCCAGTGTTTGTTGTTCCCCTCCCCGAGTCCATGTGTTCTTATCGTTCAGCTCCCACTTATAGGTGAGAAGATGCAGTGTTTGGTTTTTTCTTCCTGCATTAGTTTGCTGAAGATATCAGCTTCGGGTTCATCCATATCCCTGCAAAGAGCATGATCTCATTCATTTTTATGGCTCCATAGTATTCCATGGTGTATATATACCACATTTTCTTTATCCCATTATCACTGATAATGTCCATCTGGGTTGATTACATGTCTTTACTATTGTGAATAGTGCTGCAGTGAACATGCAAATGCATGTATCTTTATAGAATAATTTATATTCCAAAGTATGGTAATTTTAAATCAGTTTTGGTATTAAAAATCATGCATTTTGGAAAATATTGATAATGGAAAAATCCAAATTCTGCCAAAATATGTTGAGAAAATAGAGGGTAAATATATCTTTTCAAACTTTAAATGCCTCAGGCTCTTAGTTAATCTTCCCCAGATCTGGGAAGACCTAGAAGGGGAGAGATTGGGCTACCTTAATGAGGGCCATTTCAATCTCTTGGCCCTGCAGCAGCCATTTCAAAATACGTCAAAAAATATATTTGGGGGTAAAATATTTTGATTTCCTTCAGCTTCTTCTCTCTGTGATGCTGCACCAGAATCAGATTAGAAAGGAAGCCACATTATAAGTGTTAATAAAACCCATCTGATGAGATTTGATAGTTTGAAGGGTGTGTTTCCCAGACCTTTAGATAGAAATTGGGGCCAAGGAAAACAAGGTGTTATTCCTCTATATAAATCTGTCAGTGCTTTAAGCAGTGAAAGAAAGATTTTTCATTGAATTTTACAGACTTGATACTAATGAAAAGGATAGCTTGTAAAATATAAATCTCTTTTTCTATAAAAAGGACATGTTGTTGATTCTCTTAGACCTTGAACCCTGGCCAGTGATTTGAAACCAAGCAGTACCTATCTGCAGATCTCTAGTACCAAATTAATTTGGGGTGGGGGGTAACAGGTTTATTGAGAAATAATGAACACGCCATGCAATTCACTCATTTAAAGTATAGAATTCATTAACTTTAGTATTTTCAGAGAGCTATGCCATCATCATTACAATTAATTTTAGAACATTTTCATCACCCTAAAAACAAACCCCACGTCATTTAGCCATCTTCACTAGCTTTCCCTTCCTCCCTCAGCCCTAGGGAACCACCCACCTTCTTTGTATAGATTTGCCTATAAGCCTCTGAAATAAAAAGCAAGTGGTCTGCTGGGACTGGCTTATTTCACTTAGCATAATTTTTCATGCTGCATCTGTGCTGTAGCAGGTATTGATGCCGGGTTTTTGCTCCTTAGTTCAGCTACATCTGGGTTCTTCTCTCGTGACCAGGAAAAATTAAGCATGCAGACACATTGAGGAGGGCAGAATTTATTATGTGAAAGGACAGCTCTCAGCAAAGAGAGGGGTCCTGCAAAGAGGTTTCCACCTCACAATTGAATACCAGGATCACATGAGCTGAAGCGGCCAGGCTCCTCCTCTGCATAAGGCGTGAATTCCTGGTGACTCCACCCCATCCCCCCACTGCATGTGGGCCTCCGGTCTGCTGTGGGCATGTCCAGGCAAGACAAGTCCAGGTTCCCTTATCTGCACATAACATCTGGTGTAAACACTTGTGGGGCTGGTTGGAGATTCTCCGGGGACCCTTCCGTATCTGCCTAGGCATTTTGCTGTCTCCTCCTAATACGGTATCTGTACTTAATTTCTTCTTATTGCTGAGTAATATTCCATTGTATGGATACATCAAACATTTTATTTATCCATTCGCCAGGTGATGGACCTTTGGGTTCTCTCCCACCCAAAGGTGACAGACGTTCTGGTTCTTTCCACCTTTTGACTACTATTAATAATGCTGCTGTAAACATTTATGTATGAGTTTTTGTGTTTGCGTATGTTTTTATTTTTCTGGAGTATATACTTATGACTGGAATTTCTGTGTCATATGGTAACTTCATGCTTAACCCTTTAAGGAGCTGCCAGTTTGTTTTCCAAAGTGGCTGCATCACTTTACATTCCCAGCAGCATTAGATAAAGGTTTTAATTTCTTTACATTTTTCCTAACACTCTTTTTTCTTGAACAAAGATTTTATCCTGTGGTGTGAAGTGATACCACATGTGGTTTTGATTTACATTTTCCTAATGACTAATTACATTAAGCATCTATTAATGTGCTTATCCATCTTTATATCTTCTTTGCAGATATATCTATTCAAAATCTTTGCCCATTTTTTAAAATTGGCTTATCTTGTTATTTATTAATTGCAAGAGTTATTTATATTTCCTATATATGTAAGTCCCTTATCAGATACACGCTTTTCAAATACTTTCTTCTACTTGGCGTCTTACCTTTTCACTTCTTCATACTGTCTTCTGAGGCACAGCAGTTTTCAATTTTGAAGTCCATTGAATCCATTTTTCCTTTGGAGTCATAGCTAAGAAAACACTGGCAAATGCAGTCACAAAGATTTATGCCAGTGTTTTCTTCTGAGGGTTTTATAGTTTTAGCTTTTACAGTTAACTATTTTATTTTGAGTTAATTATTAAATAAGATATTTGGTCGAACTTTATTTATTTTTTGCTTATGGATACCCAGTTGTCCCAGCACCATTTGTTGAAAAGACTATTCTTTTCCCATTTTGTTCTTTTGTTAAGCTTGTATAAAATCAATTGACTGTAAAAGTGCAGGCTTATTTTTAGATTGTCAATTCTTAGCTTGTTTATGTCTATTCTTATGTCAAGGCCCAATCGAATTGAATGAGAAGTTTTTTTCAATCATGTTGCATATTACCAGTTATCTTATGTCATAATAAAAATTAAATTTAGTGGAATGTCTGTAACTTCACCTTTTGTGTCACAAAGGAGTCTCTGGCCAGCTTATACCTTACTTCCTCTAAGACATGATCAGACGCCAGGCTTACAAGACACACTTAATTTCTTTTTTTCTCCATTCAAGCCTTTAGTCTCTTTTCCATTACCTCCCACTATAGTTATATTTTCAGTAAGTTTTGGTTACAGGATCTGCTGACATAGTCTAATATTCAGTGCATTATGTTTTACTAACTCATTATAATTCATAGAACCTTCCATAGATGTTTACCATCTAGGAAGGAGAAGTTTAAGTCTGAGCCACCAGCTTTCCTCAGTGGAAATCAAGTGAAGTCATCATCTTGCAGTTTACAGACCCTCTTTTCTCCTGGTAGCTGGTTCTCTTGGGTAGCACTGTGGCTAATCCTTTTCTTAGTGCAGATCTTGCATTCTCAGAAACCACAGTTCCCTGTATTGACCTCCTTTTACTGAAACAGAGATGCACAGCTCTGCTTTCTAGCTCAGTAGAGGATTCTTGGAATAAAACGTTTAATTCATTCCAAGAAAAAGTCTTAGGAGTGCAGCACTTCAAAATCAGGTAACGTTCAGGCAATTTATCAGAGACACATAGTAGATTAGTATTTTGAGTTTCAAAATTTCAGAGCCAAGTTGTGTGCTATAGAGAAGCATTGTGGCATAACATAGAGATGGGATGGTTTTTACTTCTCCATACAAACAAGCTTGGAGTAAGGTAAAGGAGAAATTGCATTTGTGTCTTAACACTCAAAACACACTATGCTTATTTTACTTCTGTGAAGAATAAAAATCATTCCATAATATTCTCCTTATTTCCTCATTTAGAAAAGAAAATGAAAATTGAATACTAGGTTGATTAATAAATACTCAAAACTTCTTCTTTTAGAATTTTAGTTAATTGAAATCAGGTAAATGTCTGATTTTGCCTATGTCACCCAGTATTTCTAGTTGTTTTTCAAATCATACATCTTCTTGCTTCCCAGTCTTACTTCCTAACTTGAGGGGAAATTGTAAGAAGACACCCTTGCCTTGTTATCAGAGTTCATAATTGAAGTTGTTTTAGGAAAATTCCTCCTCAGCAGCTTATGTCTCTCTCCTGGTTATCTACTGCTTCTCAATAATGTTTGACATCAATAAATATCAACCTTTATTAGATCCTGCTTTAAAGGAGACTCTTTTCTGCTGCATAAGTTATGTTTCCTGTTGTCTCTTTTTAAAACTTATTTTCCTAACAATTACCCAGAGTCTTGTGGCTTGAAAGAAAAACATTTATTTTGTTCATGAACCTGTGGTTGGGGAAAAACTTGGCCAAGACAGCTTGTCTCTGCTCCCTTCAGCTTCCCTAGGAACAGCTGATCAGTTGGGGAAATGGAATCCTCTGAAGCTTTGGTCACCCACTTGTTTGATGGTTGATGCTGGCCATCGGCTGTAAACTTGGTTGGGACAGGCAGCATGAACACTGACACAGGCACTTTCAGGCTCTCTTTGTGGCCTGATGGCTCTCACAATTGGGGCAGGGTTCCAAGGGAAAACAGTCTGAGATAGGGAAGCCACATGGTATCCCTTTCACTACATTCTACTCATTAGAAGGAAGTCAGTAAGGCTGGCCCATATTCTGTTTTTTAAATGGGATGAATGTAGCTTCTCTTTTGTTTTAATTGACACATATATACATAATTGTGGGCTATAGAGTGATATTTTTATACATGTATATAGTGTGTAATGATCAATCTAACTAGCACATTTACTACTTCAACCATTTTTCATTTCTTTGAATTGTGAACATTCAAAATTTTCTGGCTTTTTAAAAATATACAATAAGTCATAGTTAACCATATTCACCCTACAATGCCACAGAACACCAGAACTCACTCCTCTTATCTAACTGTAATTCTGTATCCATTAACCAGCCTCCCCTCCCCTACTTCTGTGAGCTTTTTTTTTGTTAAGAGACGGGGTCTTGCTAGTATAGTCTGGACTCTGGGCAACTGTAGTCACCCAGACTGGAGACAGTGGTTTGATCATAGTTCACTACAGCTTCAAACTCTTGGGCCCATCTGATCCTCACACCTCAGTCTCCTGAGCAGCTGGCATTATGGGCATGCACCATTGCACATGTCTGATTTTTGACTTTGTAGAGATATCTCCCTATGTTGCCCAGGGAGCTCTGGAACTTTTGGCCTCAAATGATTCTCTTGCCTTGGTCTTACAAAGAGCTAGGAAATTACAGGCATCAGCCATATTGCCCAGCCTTCAATTTTCCTTTAGCTCCCTTACATGAGTAAGAATGTGCAGTATTTATCTTTCTGTGTCTGCACTTAACATCCGTCAGACTGATCCACGTGGCCACGAATAACAGGATTTAATTCCTTTATACGGTGAATAGTATTCCACTGTGTTTGTGTGCCACAGTTTTTCGTCCATTCATTTGGTGATGGACATGTAGGTTGATTCCATACACAAGCTGTTGTGGATAGTGCTACAGTAAACATATGAGGACAGATATCCTTTTGATCTATTGTTTTCTTTTCTATTGCCTGAATACCCGGTAGTGGGGTTGCTGGATCCCTCGGCAGTCCCATTATTAGTTTTTTTGAGAAAACCTCCTGTTATTCTCTATTGCGGCTGCACTAATTTACCTTCCCACCAACAGCATGTAAGAGTTTACTGTTCTCTGGAGCCTCACCAGCATTTGTTATTTTTTTGTATTTTCAATGACAGCAATTTATTCAAATTGAAGCAAGATTATATCACATTGTAGATTTGATTTGTATTTCCCTGAGGATTAGTGATACTGAGCATTTTAAAATTTATTTATTGGCTATTTGTATTTCTTTTTCTAAAAAAAAGTATAGTTAGATATTTTGCCCAATTTTAAACTCAGATTTTTTTTACTGTGAAGTTGTTTGAGTTTTTTTGTATATTTTGTATATTAGTCCCTTATTAGGTGAATAGCTTGACAATATTTTCTCCTATTCTACAGGTTTTCTCTTCGCTCAGTTGTTTGCTGGACAGAAGCTCTTTAGCTTAATGTAGTGTCTTTTGTCTATGATTTGTTGTTTGCCTATGCTTCTGATGTCTTACCCATAAAAATCTTTGTGCAGACTAATGTCCTCAAGCATTTTCCCTATATTTACTAAGAGTAGTTTGATAATTTTGGGCCTTACATTTCAGTCTTCAATCGATTCTGAGTTTATGTTGTTATATGGTGTTACATAGGAAGCTAGTATCATTCTTCTCCATATGGATATTTAGTTTTCCCAGTGTCATTCATTTGAAGAGGCTGTCCTTTCCCCAGCGTATGTTCTTGGCATGTTCGTCCAAAATCAGTTGGCTGGAAATATGTGGATTTATTTCTGGGTGCCGTATTCTATGGTCTTTACCCCAAGAATCATTACTTCTTAAAATGCAATTCAAATTAGCATGAAACATTTGCAGTTTAAGGAAAGGCTTATAGCATCAGAATCCTTAATCATAGATTTCATTATTTTGTGGATTTTTTTTTGAGATAGGGTCTTTGTCTGTCATCCAGGCAGAAGTGCAGTGATAATAATTCACTGCAGCCCTGAACTCTGGGTACAAGCCATCCTTTTGCCTCAGTATCCCAACTAGCTGGGTCTACAGGCATGAGCCACCATGCCCGGGTAATTAAAAATTTTTTTTTTTGTAGAGAGGGGGGTCTCACTATGTTGCTCTTACTGATCTCAAATTCCTGGCCTCAAGTGATCTTTCTGCCACAGCTTTTTAAAGTGCTAGGATTACAGGCATGAGCCACCATGCCTAATATAGAGTGTAATATCATTTTCAAAGTCTTATTCCTAGACCCATTTATTGACTTTGGCCTAAATAACTCAATATGATATCTCTGAAACTTTTTTTGACATATTGTGGGGAATAATAATGAAGGAAGGGGGTTAGACACTTTTTACTAGGAGATAACTTTGTGCCATTTAAGGAGGAACAAAAATGAATTATCAGAAAAATAAAAGTAAAATGAAGTACAAAAATTCTGTGGCAAAGATGGTGATAGTAAAGAATATATTTTTATGACTCATGGTAGCTTTAACTTTGTTCTTAAAATTCTGAGTAATTTAAGGGTTCACATTTGAAGAATCTGCTGCATTACAGATAACATTTTATTGCAAGTAAATGCATTTCAAAATTTGCTATTGGTTTTGTATTAGATTATTCTCAGCCTACTTCATTATCAAGCTATACTATTTTATTCATGCAGTTTGATGATCTTATGGTGGAGAAGGAAGCTGTATCTTCAAAATGTGTCAATTTGGCTAAAGAGAATCAAGTTTTTCAACAGAAGTTATTATCTATGAAAAAAGTACAACAGGAATGTGAAAAACTTGAGGAGGATAAAAAGATGTTGGAAGAAGAAATATTAAATCTTAAGACACATATGGAAAACAGTATGGTAGAACTTAGTAAACTACAAGAATATAAATCAGAGCTAGATGAAAGGGCAATGCAGGCAGTAGAAAAATTAGAAGAAATCCATTTACAGGTGAGTTGTTTAAATCAGGTAAGTTTACTTGTAATGTGCTTTCATTTATTTCACTGCAAATTATATTTTGGATATATATATATATATATATATATAGTGTTTCCTCTGCCTCTCTTGTAGCAATCTGCTTTGTAGAGTTCTAGAAAAAAATGGTATCTGTTTTTTCTTTTAAATATTTAAATTTCCATTATTATTATAACAAAATCAATCTTTCAGAGTAATGATTCTCATTATGGAGTCATTTGATGATTAAGACCAGTTGGCATAGGAAAAAATTGTGATTTAGAAATTATGTGATAATTATGAATTGGTCTTAAGCTACAGTGTTCATTGATCACTTTTTAAAACTATGAATGGATGCTATTACTTTTTATATGACCAGATTACATTAATACTAGCATAATTATGATTTCAAATTTTTACAAATCAGACTTAATTCTGAATTCAGTTATTAGTTTTGATATTGCTGAAATATTTTAAACTTCATCCTCTTTTTTAACATATTCAAAAATGCTCTTTGAATCACTGACTCAAAATGAAAGGCAACAAACATAATAATTAGGTTATAATTGTTTTAAAAGTGTATTCTTTTCCTCTGTTTTAGGAACAAGCACAATATAAAAAACAATTAGAGCAGTTAAACAAGGATATAATACAGCTTCACTAAATAAGAAGGAACTCACACTTAAAGATGTGGAATGTAAATTCTACAAAATGAAAACTGCTTATGAAGAGGTTACAACTGAGTTAGAAGAATATAAGGAAGGCTTTGCAGCAGCATTGAAAGCTAACAGTTCCATGTCAAAAAAATTAACTAAGTAAGTCAAAACATACACTCATAGAAAATGAATTAAGCTCATTAATTTGTTTCAAAAGCATAATTTTTAGTGAGATGGCTTCAGGAGATTAGAAGGAAGTGAATGCTAATTTGACAATGTAATTTTGAAAAATAATGTTAGTAAATAATTTTACCTTTAAAATGTTAGTCAAAGATAGTTTTTGTCTCTCCTCTCATTTTTTTTTTTTTTTTTTGCTTTTGTATGGCTTTTTTTCCTGAAAAGTCTCATGTAATTAACCTGATCTATTAGTTTTTTTCACTAAGTATTTTTGAAGTTTTATAATTAATGAAGTGATCTTGTTATAAAATTACTTGTCAGAATTTCCCTAAATAGAAATATTAATGTGTTTAATTTACTTTTCAGTGGATCACAACCTAAATGTAAAGTGGTACTGCTACTCTGGGCACAATTGTTTTTGATTGTGATCTTTAGTATTATCACCAGAGGGTGCCTCAAGAAAGACTATTTGTGTAACATATTCAAGATGTTACAGAAAGGCACCCTTGTGAAATAGGGAATAATTATCACAGGAATTTAAAGAAGTGTAATTCACAAAGCGGTTAAAAAATAACACCTTGTTCAGCCTGAAGCGGTGTGTGGAAGGCAGAAAGAACATGCCCCCACCTCCAGGGCCTTGGTCACAGTGTTGGGGGCTAATTGCCTTCAGAGATGCTTTAGTTCTTTTTGATCACCAACCAGACAATCTAGTTCTCCCCTAGGAGTTGTTGCTCTGAATTATTCCTCAGTGCCAAATGTTTAATTGGTCCTAGATAATGGGTGAAATGTACAAGAGTGAAATCTAAAACTGGTTTACTAAACACAAGTATTCCTAGATTTTTTTTCGTTCATTTTAGTTTTCTTAACCTACATTAAGGAGTACAACATGATGTTTTGATATAATTATTTCTAGTGAAGTGGTTCTTATAATCAAGCAAATCAATATATTCATTTTCCCACATTATTACCCTTTAAATACAAGTATTTCTAATGGAATCTTCAGAATCTTACAAGTAGAGCCATTTTAGAAGGCAGGAAGTTTTACCTGTTGAGCCATACATCACTGATAGCCATTTCTCTTCCCTGTCTACTTTGTTTGAACTGCTTGTTCAGTAGAAATCACCTTAGAAACAATGGTGCTTCTTTAGAACGATTTTAAAATTATAATTCCTTACAACAGGTATGCTCTTACACATCTTCTCTGTGAAAACACTATTTAGTGGGTAATTTGGTTTACTCTCAGGGTAAGTTTTTAAAAACTGCAAGTCATTAAGAATCATTTAAGGAAAAATGAAATATTAAGCATTTGTCTTTGCTATCTTTACAGATCGAATAAGAAAATAGCAATGATCAGTATCAGCTCTTTATGGAGAAAGAGCAGGTGAAATATTTTCTCAGCACTCTTCCTACAAGGCGAGGTCGAGAGTCACCTTGTGTTGAAAATCTTACTAGTATAGGACTCAACAGAAAATATATTCCCCAAATGCCCGTAAGAATTCCTACTTCAAACCTCAGACTTCAAATAACTGCCAGAACTACTTGACTGATGTTAGTTATATGACCGTTTCTCTTTAGGGTTTCATTTGTCTAGCGTAATTCTTGTTTATAATTTGGTGAAACACTGAGTTGTTCTGTTGACTTTTGCATGTGAAGTAAAGATCATAATTAGCTGTGTTAACACAGAAAGGAAATGGGAACTTTACATTTTTTAATTCCCTGGAGCTCTCATTTTCAAGAGATATCCATTTGCTAACTTTATTCAATAAATGTGACTAAACTGACACGTTTGAAATGTCTTTAAAAGCTGCATTTAAGTTAGGTTTTAGAAATTGCATGTTATTGCCTGATAACTGATGATATACTTTGAGATGCTTTGGCTTACTCTCTAATTGATTGTAGTTTAGCTGTGGTTCATACCACATTTTTTTTTCTTTTTTTTGAGGCAGTGTCTCACTCTGTCACCCAGGCTGGAGTGTCTTGGTGCCATCTCCACTCACTGCAACCTCCACCTCCCGGGTTCAAGTGATTCTCCTGCCTCAGCCTCCTGAGTAGCTGAGACTACAAGCACCCACCATTACACCCAGCTAATGTTTGCATTTTTAGTAGAGACAGGGTTTCACCATATTGGCCAGGCTCTTCTTGAACTCCTGACTTTGTGATCTGCCTGCCTGAGCCTCTCAAAGTGCTGGGATTACAGGCATGAGCCACCGCACCCAGCCCATGCCACTTTTAAAGTTTCTTTGCACCAGCCAGGTGTGGTGGCTCATGCCTGTAATCCCAGCACTTTGGGAGGCTGAGGCAGGTGTATCACGAGGTCAGGAGTTCAAGATCAGCCTGGCCAAGGTGGTGAAACCCCATCTCTACTAAAAGTACAAAAAAAATATTAGCCTGGTGTGGTGGTGGGCACCTGTAATCCCAGCTACTAGGAAGGCTGAGGCAGAGAATTGCTTGAACCTGGGAGACGGAGGTTGCAGGAGCTGAGATTGCACCACTGCACTCCAGCCTGGGTGACAGGGCAAGACTCCATCTTGAAAATAAAAAAAAAAATCAAAAAAAGTTTATTTGCACCATCTCAATTCTTCCCACCCATAATCACAACTGAATGATTGGCATCCAAACACTTTGCCACATATGGATGTTTATTATTTAGTAGAATCCAAAATAATTGCATTTTATGAATTAAATAAAACACTAAAATGTTCATTTCCCTTTTTATGTTAAAAGTTTTGTGCTTGGCCAGGCATGGTGGCTCACACTTGTAATCCCAAAATTTGGGGAGGCCGAGGCAGATGAATCACCTGACGTCAGGAGTTTGAGACCAGCCTGGCCAACATGATGAAACCTGTCTCTAGTAAAAATACAAAAATTAGCAAGGCGTGTTGGCAGGCATGTGTAATCTCAGATACTCAGGGGGCTGAGGCAGGAGAATCACTTGAACCCAGGAGACAGAGGTTGCAGTAAGCCAAGATCATACCACTGCACTATAGCCTTGGTGATGGAGACTCTGTCTCAAAACAAAACAAAAAAATGTTTGTGCTTTCCTTACATAAGAGTACATCTTCTGACTATAAAAATCCTGGAAGAAAACCTAGGAAATACTCTTCTGGATATCATATTTGTCAATTAATTTATGGCTAAGTCCTCAAAAGCAATTGCAAGAATAACAAAAATTGACAAGTGTGATCTAATTTAGCTAAATAGCTTCTGCACAGCATGAGAAACTATCGCGGGATTAAACAGACAGCCTAAAAGAATGGAAGAAAATATTCACAAAGTATGGATATAGCAAACGCCTATTATCCAGAAACCATAAGAGACCTAAACAAATCAACAAGCAAAAAATAAATAAGACCATTAAAAATGGGCAAAGGACATGAACAGACAGTTCTCAAAATAACACACGTAAGTGGCCAACAAACATTAACAAATGCTTACCATTGCTAATCATCAGAAAAATGCCAAACAAAACATCAATGAGATACCATTTCACACCAGTCACAATGACTTTTGTTAAAAACAAATAATAAATAAAAACTTAAAAAAAGGGTGTTGGGGAGGCTGTGGAGAAAAGGGAACACAACCCGTTTGTGGCAATGTAAATTAATTCAGCTACTATGGAGAGCAGTTTGGAAATTAAGAACTAAGAATGACTGTTGGATGCAGCAACCCCATTACTATACTAGGGGTATACCGAAAGGACAATAAATCATTGTAACAAAAAGATGAATACACATGTATGTTCATTGCAGCACTATTCACAATAGCAAAGACGTGGAGTCAATCCAGGTACATCCAAGGTAGATTGAAAATCCAAGGTAGATTGGAAAATTCCATATGTACCATGGAATACTATGCAGCCATGAAAAGAACAAAATCACGTCATTTGCAGCAACATGAATACAGCTGGAATCCACTCTCCTAAACAAACCAACGCAGAAACAGAAACCAAATATCTCATGTTTTCACTCATGTGGGAGCTACATATTGGGTGCACATTGTCATAAAGGTGGGAATAATAGACACTGGGAAATAAGAATGGGGAGGGACAGAGTGGGCCAGGGTTGAAAAACTACTTCTTGGGTCCTATGCTCACAACCTGTGTGATGGGTTTAATTGTACTGCAAACCTCGGTATCCCTCAATATGCCTTTGGAAGAAACTTACAGAGGTACCACGTTAATTTAGAATACAAACTAGAAAAAAAAAGAAAAGTTTCCTATAAGTGGAGAACAGAAATTTCTTTTTAAGATAAAATTTATTGAAGTAAAAAATGGATTAAACTTTTATAAAGGGCAGAGTTTTCTGAGAATTTCAAAGCAATGCATTCATTGCAAAAGATGGCTTTAGTTACTTAATCTTTTTTTTTTTTTTTTTTTTTTTTTTTTTTTGTGAGACAGGGTCTCACTCTGTCACCAGGCTGGAGTGCAGTGGTGCAGTCTTGGCTCACTGCAACCTCCACCTCCTGGCTTCAAGCAATTCTCCTGCCTTAGTATCCCAAGTAGCTGGGACTACAGGTGCACATCACCACGCCCAGCTAATTTTTGTATTTTTAGTAGAGATGGGGTTTCCCCATGTTGGTCAGGATGGTCACGATCTCCTGACCTTGTGATCTGCTTGCTTTGGCCTCCCCAAGTGCTGGGATTACAGGTATGAGCCACCATGCCTGGCCATTGTTTAACCTTTGTACTAATAAAACACTACCTTTCTAAAATCATGTATATGCAATAGATCAATATTAACTGCATTTTTGTCAGATTACTCTAAACCGCATTACACATATACATCCTCTGTTATCTAAACTTAAAATAAGTAGAAATTTTATTTTATTTATGTGATTATTTTTCTATTTAAGCAAACTTCAAGTTATGTCTAGTCACTAAAAATACTAAAGGCCACATTTTGTAAGTGATACATGATTTTCATTATAATGTTTCTTGTTTAATTTAGACATTATTATTATTTTTACTTACTTTAGATGGGGCTGGACTGTGTAGAATAAATAATTAGAGAAACAAAGAGAAGTACGTTGACAAAATTTATTAATTAAATTTAGGTTTATTTTAGAAATAAAGTGTAAATAGCAAATGGCATTCCTTTTCATTCTTGGGTTAGTAGATACTACATCAATATTTTTTTTCTTACACACATCTAATGAAAGATGTGAAAACAAAAACTTTCACAGAGAAGACTGTACTTATGCACCATAAATTCATCATGTTCCAAAGCTTAAACAGTTCCCAAGAAGTCTGTGCATCTCTTTTTCACTGGCTCTACACTTTCTTAAGTTTTGCCATCCTCATGGAACTGTCAGCCAGCACACTGAAACGATTCTCAGAAAACAAAAGCATCATCAAGTTCTCAGGGTTTTGGTAGAGATTGAAGGCCAACAGACCTAAGACTCATTCAGAAATACTTAGCTGAGCAATAACCCTTCATAAGCAGTCACTTGACAGGTGACATTTTAAATCTCCTCTAATTTACTGTGTCATTGGCTTACACTTGTTCTCAGGAAAAGTTCCAAATTTTTCACCATGAAATAAAAACACCCATGTCAATGTAATTCTTGCCAAGTTACTCAGCCTTGTTTCTCACCACTTATTGCACTCTGCCCTTTGCTGTAGCACCAAACTGGATGGAGTGGAACTCTGCAGGGCTCTTCCTCACCTCAGGCTCTTTGCCTTTGCCTCTTTCCTCTATCTGGGAAGCTTTTCCTTGTCCTTCAGGCATCAACCTATGTTATCTCCTCCACCAGAAAGCCCATGATATTGACATAAAAGTGGGTAGATGTCCTTTCTCTGTGTTCCAGTAGTGCCCTGCTGTATACCTGTCATGGTATCTATGACTCTATATGGACATTTCCTGCCTGTCTGTTTTTTAGGTTATAGCTTATGACTGTTGAGAGGTGGACCATGCCATCTTCATCTTGTAATTCCAGTGCTGGTTCTAGTACCTTAGCATGTGGCTGTTGATTACATGAATGAAGACTGAAAAAGCTCTGATATTTAAACACAGTTAGAATTAATGCCATGTGTAAATTATTAAATAGTAATTTTGTGTTGTATATGTACATACATATTTCTCACTTATTAACTCTGATAAAGTTCTCAAGTCTTTAGTTTTTAAACTCACACTTAGTTAACTGAAGTGTTTTAGGTAAAGAACAAAATTCTTTATTTTTCTTTCCAGCTGTTGCTGTATTGGACACTTGCTCCCATCTACTTTCTTCTCTAGAATCCACGGGTAAGCCACATCTAATGAAGAGAATATTTAACCATAAAGTCTTAAGGAAAAATTCTATGATGATTTAAAAGATTATAAAACTTTATTACTGGGCTATTTACACATTTTAAT
Source organism: Homo sapiens (assembly GCF_000001405.40). Taxonomy (NCBI): domain Eukaryota; kingdom Metazoa; phylum Chordata; class Mammalia; order Primates; family Hominidae; genus Homo; species Homo sapiens. The sequence goes on along the minus strand of NT_113793.3, from coordinate 157,416 downwards.
TGTTTCTCATGAAATATATAACATTCCAATGTTTACTGAAGTAGGATATTTTTGTATCATATGTATGATTATAATTTATAGGGTATTTTAAATGATGTTTTTTGGCCTCCTTAAGTTTTAAGTGGATCTTGCAAATGAAAACCAGTATTATTGAGTTTGACATATTCAAATTGCCCAAATGTCAGCTGTTTAAACAACCAAGTCATCATTGATACTTTAGTAAAGGTTAGTAAAGGTCATCGAAGGCTTATTTGCATTTTACAGTTTTTATTACTTAGGAGAGTTAAGTAGTACCTGCAAGGTTTGTCCATGCTAATGTTACAATTTTCTTTTTGTAGTTCAACCGTATTTTGTATGGAGATACTTTGAGGCTCTGTAAATATCTGGTTACTCCTCAGAACCCACTAGATTTAGCATTTCATGGATGACTTGTGTTTGAACAATTATTACTATGATAGTTACCAGATGATTATTTTCTTATTCTCCTCTTTGTTCTACATGGAGAAATAAAACCAATAAATAAGGGAGAAGGAAAGCTCATGATTCTGATGCTCCAATTCCCCAAGATTAGGCCAGTAGTAGACATTCCAAGCTGACTTTATGTCTCTTTGATTTGTCTCCATTACTCCGTCGGCACTTTTTTACTTTCTGGCAGAAGATGTTCTAAGCTCAGCTTGTATTTTCTCTGCGCCAGCTCTGGAATGAGTAATTTTTTTTAGAAGCAGAGGTGGAGCCACTGAGGAAGCACAGGTGAGCCCTCCCCAGTGTGTACTCACTGGTCCCCAACAGAAGAACCACTGCCACATCCACTGAAGTACCAAGAAACTAGCAAAGGGCCTTCTGCCTGTCTGGGGAGAGTCCTCATGTGGTCCCTGGCTGTCTCAGAGGTTCTGGATTAGTCTTCCTGTAGCCTCTGTGTTGTGTCTTTAGATCGGGGCTCTGTGGGAAGGGCCCTGAGAGACCCAACAGCACAGCGTGCCTTATCTGCCAAAAGTCCCTCCCTTCCTCACACTCTGACACTCAGGAATAGGGTAGATGGTGTGTCCAGGCAGTGTCAGGCCACCTCACTTTCTCCTTTGAGACGGGCCCAGAGTGCCTTTGGGGTGAGTGTGGATCTCGGAACCTGGAGCCTGAGGCCAACTGTCTCTCCCTGTGTCTTGGAGGAAAGGCCACGTCCCAAAAAAACCCCCAGGGCCTGACCTCTGGGCACACATGCAGGGAGGGAGGGTCTATGAGCTGAGGGGGACATTGTAATGAGACTTTGAACCCCATTGCTCCGGGGCCTGGTCAGTGGACCATGGTCAGAGATGACCTGGTCATCAGGACCTGGTCATTTGGGACCTGATCAGCAGGGGCCTGGTTAGTGGCGGCCTCCTCAGTAAAGGCCTCATCAATGGGGACCTGGTGACCTAGTCATTGGAAGCCTGGTCAGTGGGGGGACCTAGTCAGTGGTGGCTTTATTAGTGGGGCCTGATCTGTTGGAACATAAACAATGAAAAACTGGTTGGTGGGGCATACACAATATATCACGGGCCTGGTCAGTGTGGGGCCTTAGTGGCTTGGAGCCTGGTCAGTGAGGGCCTGGTCAGAGGGGGCTCAGTCAGCTGGGTACTCGTTCATGGAGAATTGTTCAGTGGGGGGTCGGTTGAGCAGCAACCTGGTAAATTGTGGTCTTGTCAGTGGGAACCCTGTCTTGTCAATGGGGACCAGGTCAGTGGAAAATTGGTCAGTGGGGTCTGGCCCATGAGGCCTATTAAGTGTGGGCCTGGTTAGGAAGACATGGTCAGTGGGGACTTGATCAGTGGGACCTGGTCAATGGAGGAGTGGTCATTAGGGGTCTCATCACTCATCACTGGGAACCTGGTCAGGGGCAGTTTGTCAGTACCTGGCCTGCTGGCCACTATGTGACCTCAGGCAGGGGGGTTGTCTGTGGAGCCTCCTTGCCTCCATCTGCAGGGAAAGTGAGTCGGGGCACCCTGGAGGGTGGCTGGAAAGAGAAGGTGAGAAGATGTGTTGAATCCAATACTGCTTGGCAGACCTACAACTTTACAAATGACCTGTGTTCCACCTAGAGAGGGTGCCAGCCCTCTCAGCATTATGCAGTGCCCCTCCTCTGTCTGCATCCCCAGGACCACCATGGGTGGGGAGGGCAGAGATTGGGGAGCACCTATAGAGGCTCTAATGCTCTAAGGTGACAGTGATGAGGACCTGGGTGCACCCATGAGTGGAGAAGCTAGGCCTGTCCAGAGAAGCAAGACAAACACACACATACACACACACACACAGGCACACATGCATACACAAATACATTGCATACACACATGTCAGTTCAGGGGATAGAGGACACTGACTCTGGGCCCTGTTGACCCAAGCAGACTCCCATGGTGGTGGGTTGTGTCACCCCACAATGTCACTGTTGCTGAGTCCCCATCACCTCTGTGTTGTGGAGCAGTTAGAGACACACAGCAGTGTCTGTGAGTAGCTCTGCGTGAAGGACCATTTTCTAGATGAGAGGCACATCTCAACACAGCTCACTGATCAGATTCAGGTGAGTGGGACCTGCTCTTTTCTCTTCCTCCTGGCTTGGGAAAAGTCACTATCAGGTGGATGGTTTTGGTCTCTGGGCAGCTACTGAGGGTAATCCCTGAACACTCACCAGCTGCCTGTTATGTGCTGACAGTCATCTCATTCATCCTCGCAGCAATTCCATTCTGCATCTTTTCTGATCACCTCCGTGACCACACAGGACAACCCCATCAGGGCCCTGTCACCAGGCCCAGTCTAGCTCCATGATAACCAAGACACAGGTCCAGAGACAATCGTCCTACATTGTGCCTGCATCTGACCCCCCTTGGTAGGTAGTGACCAGCACAACATGGAAGAAGCCAGGGCAGCATGCAGCCAGCTGCTCTGCAGCCCCAAATGGCTCCTGGGCCTTGGAAGTCATTCATAAAGGGGAAGCTGGTCACTTTGAGGTCCCTGAAGGGAAGGGTGAACGTGCATCCCAACAGCCCTGGCAGCCAGCAGCATGCCATACATATTCTCACCCAACGTGTGTGACAGAGGTCCCCTCCTGGGGCACAAGCCCCATACCTAAAGCATCCTGTCCCAGTCGGACCTCATCCTGAGCCCTGGGAGGGGAGGGGCACCATGGGCCCCCCTGCAGCAGCCAGGATTACCACCCAGGGGACTCGGCCTTCTGTGGCCCTGGCCAGACTTAGAATTTGGCCCAAGACAACCTTACTCGGAGCAGCTTCTCAGTACCTGGGGCCTGTGCATGCCAGGCAAGGCCAAGCTGGCTCAAAGAGCAACCAGCCACCTCTGCAAGGGTGTGCCAGGAGCAGGTGGAGCAGTCACCAACCTCACCCACTCAAGGAAATAGGGATGGCCAGTTTCCCACAGTCTGAGTGACCACCACCTGACAGCTGATGGAGTGGAGGCCTGAGGAAAAGCAGATGGCACTGGGGCTCCACCTCCAGGGCAGAATAACTGATTTACCCTGACTGGCAGGGAGTGACGTTGGTGGCTGGTCCACTGGCTCCTGGCACACCATTGCAGAGGTGGGTGGTTGCTCTTTGAGCCAGCTTGGCTTTGCCTGGCATGCACAGGCCTCAGTGCAACAAATGTGCTGCAAATGGAGCCACAGAGAGGAAATGAGCAGCAGGCTCAGAACTGGGGTGTGTGCCGCCTTTGGGGCTCCAGTCCAAGCATCGGGGCTTCTACAGCACTGTGGGCTTCTCGGGTGCCAAGAGGCAGACCACAGGCCATCTTGAGGAGGACTCTGGTAAGAGCTTCCTTGTGTATGTGGATGATGTCCAGAATGTTGGCCTGGTGTCCCTGAGACAGCACTAACAGGTCCATGACTGGGTCCAGATCCTGCCTGGGCTGATGGGCAAAGAGCTCACTGACAGTGTGGAAGCATCTATTTTGAAGTAGGATCTATGTTCAAGTGCAGAAAGGGCCCAATCTTGTAGATGAACCACACAGCCAGCTTCTGGATGCAGGTGCAGTGCCACATTGTTTGTCACTTCCTGATGTGCCCCACCAGCACTGAAGAGATAGCCTGGAGACAGGGCAAGAGGAAGGCTGAGAAGGATGAGATGGTGAGTGCCAGATTCTTCCTGGCCCTGAGCCCACCCCCAGTGTGACACTCAACTTTTAGGAGTGGGAGAGCAAGATTGACGGCTTCAAGTGCTTCACCAAGAAGATGGACAACAGGGCACTCAGCTCAACTTCACAGCCAATGAGTGGTGGCAGGCTTTGAGAAAGAGCATCAGAAGCCTGACAGTTCTTCTTCAGCCTCAGCCAGGCCTTGGAGCTGGACCAGGCCATCCACTTCAGTATAGATGCCTTCCACTCTGTCAGTGAGCTCTTTGCCAGTCAGTCCAGGAAGGACCTGGACCCAGCCATGGACCTGTTAGTGCTGTCTCAGGGACACCAGACCAACACCCTGGACATCATCCACATACACAAGGAAGCTCTTACCAAAGTCATGGAGAGCAGACAACATGTGGCAGAAGGGAAGACACAGGTGCAGAAGAAGGTGCAGAGGCTGATGACGTCAGAATCACAGGAACAGGATTTCTTTGGCCACTTTGGCTGAAATTCACCACTTCCATCCAATTCCAGTGAGAGACATGGACTCACAGATGCAGCATTTCTTGCAACAAGAGATACTACTTTTTCAAAAAGTCACCCAGGAATTGATAGTGTTGAATGACTCAATACTCGATCGTGGACGGTTTCCAGTTCAAGGATACTTTCTACAGCAGAATAATAACACTAGCAAAGAGCTAGTACAAGGATGGTTTTGTGCTCAACTGAAATCCAGTTGAATACAGAATTGTATAGGAAACAGTTAATATGGTGATAGAATAGAAACAGTAGCAATCGTGAACTAAATCATACTATGAATGCCTAAACTACTGCTGTAACTTTTGGAAAAATGATAATACCACTTTATTGCTTTTTGAAGTATGAATATTTTAGTGTATATGCTCTAGACTTCAAACTCTATAAAGAGTCTCAAAGAAGTTGGCTGGATAAAACCTGCTGTGGATGTCTTTATATTCAAAGATTGATGATGCAATTTGAATATGTGTCCCCACCGAATCTCATGTTGAATTATATTTCCTAATGTGGAAGGTGGATCCTGGTATAATGTGATTGAATTATGAAGGCAAATTTCTCATGAATGGTTCAGCACCATCCCCTTGTACCATCCTCACAATAATGAGTGACTTCTCATGAGATGTAGTCACTGAAATCTCTATATCACCTCCCCACTCTCCGTGTTTTCCCCTTGCCATGTGAGACAATTGATTCTTTCTTTGCCTTCCATGATTATTGAAAGATTTCTGAGGCCTAGAAGCAGAAGCACTGTGCTTAGAACCATGAGCCAATTAAACCTCTTTTTCAAAATAAATCATACAGGAAATGGCAAATGAGGACTGGAGCTTTGCTATAAAGATACCTGGAAATGTGGAAGCAGCTTTGGAACCAGGTAATGGATGGAGGTTGGAAGAGTTTGGAGGGCTCAAAAGAAGACAGATGAGAAAACTTTTGGACCATCTTAGAGTCTGGTTCAATGGTTGTGACAAAAATCCTGACAGAAACATGGACAGTGAAGGCCAGGCTGAGGAGGTCTCAGAGAGAAATAAGAAGCTTTCTGGAAAATGTCTTCCTTTTGGAAATGGAAAGCTTACACAATGCCTGCTTTTTATTTCAGAGACTCATAGGCAAAAGAGACTGTAGCCTTGACCCAGATGAGACTTTGGACTTTGTAACTTTGAGTTAATCCTGAAATGAGTTAAGACTTTGGGAGACTGCTGGCAAGGCATGTTTGTATTTTGCAATGTGAGAAGGACATGAGATTCATCGGGTCAAGGACAGAATAATACGGTTTTTGTCTATGTCCCTACCAAAACTCATGTGGAATTATATTTTGTAATGTTACAGGCAAGGTCTAGGTGGAAAAAGATTTAGTCATAAAATGGTGCAGGTAGATACTTCACGAATGATAAAGAACCATCACCTTGATGCTATCCTCCTGATAATGAGTGAGTTTCCATGAGATCTGGTTGTTTAACAGATCTCATCCTCCTGCTCCTGCTTTAGGAGACATCTCATTGTCCCTTGGCTTTCTGATATAATGAGGAGGCTTCCTGATTCCTCACAGAAACAGAAGACACTATACTTCCTTCACAGCTTGCAGAACCATGAGTCAATTACACCTCTTTTATTTACAATAATACAGAAAAGTAGAACTGCAGAGAGGAGCTGTGAAATGCCTTCAAGGCCTTTTTCCCTTTGTTTTGGCTATTAGCACAGGGCTTCTTTATATGCAAATTTCTGAAATCTTCTTGAATGTTCCCCTTAAATGGGATTTTTGTTATTGCTACATAGCCAACCTGCTATACAGATTTCTGAAAAAGTAGAAGCAGGCTCAGTAGTGGGTAGCAAACAAAGATTGGAAGGGTTTGGAGGGATTAGATTATGACAGGGAGTGGGAGGGAGTGATTTAATCATGGATGGGTGGGGGTGGATGTGGAAGGGAAAAAGGGGTGGGTAGGGTGCGAGGGAGTAGACTGACTGTACGGTGGTGGGAGGGTGGTGGGTAGTAGGAAGGGGTAGTAGCCTGCTGCAGAGGCAGAGTCTCATGGAAAATCCCTACTAGGGAAGCGCACCTGTGGCTTTGCAGGTTTGAGCCCCAATGGCTGCTCTCATGGACTGGACTAGTGTTGAGTGCCTGTAGCTTTTCCACACGGAGGGTGCAAGCTGTTGGTGGGTCTATGTATCTGGGGTCTGGAGGGTGGTGGCCCCCTGCATGGGGGCTCCAAGTCCATATTTTCCTTCTGCACTGCCCTAGTAGAGGTTTCCCAAGAATGCTTCATCTGCAGCAGGCTTCTGCCTGGAAACAGTGGGAGGTGGGGGTGGGAGGCAGATCCTTCACCAATGGTTAGGCAACGTCTTCTTGATGCTCTCTTCATGATAGTGTGTTCTCATGAGATCTGGTTATATAACAGGGGGTGGCACCTCTTTCCTCTCTCAGTCTTTCTTCTACCCCTGCCATTTGAAACATCTCATTGCCCCTTGGCCTTCTGGTATGATTGGAAGGCTTCCTGATCTGATCCTCCCAGAAGCAGAAGCCACTGTGCTTCCTTTACAGCCTGCTGGACCGTGAGCCAATTAAACCTCTTTTCTTTATGATCATGCAGAAAATTAGTACTATGAAGTGGAGCCATGAAATGCCTTCAAGGCCCTTTCCCCTTTGTCTTGGCAACCAGCACTCAGCTTCTTTTCATGCAAATATCTGAATCCTTCATGAACTTTCCCCCTGAAAATGGACTTTTCTGTTTTACCACATTGCCAGGCTGTGATAAAGATAGCTGACAATGTAGAACCAGGTTCAGAAGTGGGTAAAAGACAGAGGTCAGAAGAGTTGGGAAAGCTTAGAAGACAGCAAGATGAGGAAAATATTGGACCACTATAGAGAATTGTTAAATACTTGTGATAGGAAGGCTGACAAAAGTGTAAACACTGAAGTCCAGACCTAAAAGTTCTCAGATGAAAATGAGGAATTTCCTATGAACAAGAGACAAGATTACATTTGATTGGCCTTAGCAAAGAAGCTGGCTGCATGGGGACCCTGCCCTGGAGATCTGTGAAACTATGAACTTGGGGGTGATGATTTAGGATGTATCTGGTGAAATGAACTTCTAGGCAGCATAGCACAAGAGGTGTCCTGCCTACATTGAACAGCTTGTGTTCTTATGGGTGACCTAAGAAGTGACTTCAAGTTGGAACTTCAAGTGGAGATCTAAAGTTTGGAAAATGTGGAGCCTGGCTAAGTGGTCAAAAAGAAAAGCCGATTTTGAGGGGGAAAATTCAAGAAGGCTTAGGGTATTTGTATAAAAAGGAACCCAGTGCAAAACGCCAAGACAGTGGGAAACCGGCCTTGAAAGCATTTTAGAGATGTCTGCAGCAGCCCTTGCTGTCACAGGCCCTGGGGCCTAGGAGAAAAGAATGGTTTCCTAGGCCAGTCCCATGGCTCTGCTGCTGTGCTCAACCGCAGGACACTGCTGTCGGCATCCGTGCAGCTCCAGCACCAGCCATGGCTGAAAGATGCACAGGTACAGCTTGGGTCATTGCTTCAGAGGTGCCTCAAAGTCTTGATGGTTTCCATATAGTGTTAAGCCAGTAGGTGCACAGAGAAAGAGATTAGAGGATTGGAAACTCCCGTCTAGACTCCAGAAGATGTACAGAAAATCCTGGATGTTCAGGAAGAAGCTTTTCCAAGAGGCAGAGCTTCATGGGGAACCTCTACTAGAGGAGCAAAGAAGGGACCTATAGGGTTGAAGCCCCCACACAGGGAGGCATCATTCTCTAAACCCCAGATTCATGGACCCATAAACAGCTTGCACCCTCAGTGTGGAAAAGCTATGGGCACTCAACAACAGCCCTGTCCATGAGAGACATCCGCGGAAGCTGAACGCTGCAAAGCCACAGGTGCAGATCTGCCCAAGGCCTTGGGAGCTCAGCCCTCACAGCCCTGTGCTATGGATATGGGACAAGGATTCAAAAATGGTGATTTTGGAGCTGTAGCATTAAGTGACTGGCCTGCTGGGTTTTGGACACTTATGTATCCTGTGAGTCACCCACTGCCTGTACAATCATTGTACCTTGGAAGTAGTAAACTTGCTTTACAATTCACTGGCTCATGGGCAGGAGGGACTGTAGACTTGTCTCAGATAAGACTCTGGGCTTTGTGCATTTGAGTAAATGCTGGAATGAGTTAAGATTTGAGAGACTCTAGGGAAGACATCATTACATTTTGCAATGTGAGAAAGACATGAACTTTGGGGGACCAGAGATAGAATAATAGGTTTTGGCTCTCTGTCTCTACCAAAGCTCATGTGGAATGTTAATGCAAAATGTTAAAGGTGGGGGCTGATGGAAGGTGATTTAATCATGGTGGAGAGTGGAGGTTGGATGGTTGGGGGCACCGGGAGGGTGGGGGGGATTCTGGGGTGGAGAGGGTTGGAGGGAATCGGGGGTGGGGAGGGTTGGAGGGGATTGTGGTGGGGTTGGGGGTGAAAGGCAGGGGTGGGGGTGGATCCTTCACAAATGGTTAAACACCATCTCCTTAATGCTGTCCTTCTGATAGTGAGTTCTCTTCATGATTTTGGAGCTGTGAGATTGAATGAACACTGACGTACTGGATTTTGGATGTCCATTGGGCCTGTGGTCCCATTTGTGTTATTTTTCTTGGAAATTTCTTCCCTTTGGATTGAGAAAGTTTACCCAGTACCTGTACCATCATTGTACCTTGAAAGAAACAAACACCCTTTTAACTTCAGGGACTCATAGGCAGAAGAGACTGCAGCCTTGTCTCAGATAAGACTTAAAACTTTTTACATTTGAGTTAATGCAGGAAGGAGTTAAGCCTTTTGGAAACCTTTGAAAAGGCATGATTGTATTTTATTCTGTGAAAAGGATATGATATTTGGGGGGTCAAGGTCAGCATAATATGATTTGGCTGTGTGCCCCTGGAAAAACTCATGTGGAATTGTAATCCCAAATTTTGGAGATGGGGCCTGGTGGGAGATTATTTAATCATGGATGGGAGGGGTAGGGGTGGAAGAAAAAATGGGGTGGGTAGGGTGGGGAAGAGTAGGCTGGCTGTAGGGCCGTGGGAGGGTGATGGATAGTAGGAAGGGGGAGTAGCCTGCTGCAGAGGCCGAGGCTCATGGAAAACTTCTACCAGGGCAGTGCACCTGTGGCTTTGCAGGCTTTAGCCCCCATGGCTGCTCTCATGGGCTGGGCTGGTGTTGAGAGCCTATCACTTTTCCATACTGAGGGTGTGAACTGTTGGTAGGTCTATGAATCTGGGGTCTCGAGGATGGTGGCCTCCTGCATAGTCAGTCAAAGCCCTTATTTTCCTTCTGCACTGCCATAGTACAGGATTCCCAAGAGCCTCTGCCTCTGCAGCAGGCTTCTGTCTGGAACACTAGGAGGTGGAGCTGTGTTGGGGGGCGGATCCTTCACCAATGGTTAAGCACCATCTTCTTGATGCTGACATAGTGATAGTGAGTTCTCATGAGATCTGATTATATAACGGTGTGGCACCTCTTTCCTCTCTCAGCCTTGCTCCTACTCCTGCCGTATGAAATATTTCATTGCTGTTTTCCTGTTGGTATGATTGGGAGTCTTGCTGAGTCCTCCCAGAAGCAGAAGCCACTATGCTTTCTTTACAGCCTGCAGAACCATGAGCCAATTAAACCCCTTTTCATTATGATCATACAGAAAATAAAGTACTGCGAAGTGGAGCTATGAAATATCTTCAATGACATTTCCCCATCGTCTTGGCTATTAGCACTGGACTTCTTTTTAATGCAAATATTTGAAGACTTCTTGAAGTTTCCCCCTGAAAATGGACTTCTTTTTCTTCTACATTGTCAGGCTGCAACAAAGATAGCTGAAAATGTAAAGCAGGTTCAGAAGTGGGTAACAGCCAGAGGTTGGAGAGTTTGGAGAGCTTGAAAGAAGACAGGAAGATGAAAGAAATTTTGGACCATCGTAGGCACTTGTTGAATAGTTGTGATTAAAAGGCTGGCAGAAGGATGGACAGTGAAGGCCAGGCTTACAAGGTCTCAGATGAAAATGAGGAAATTACTGGGAACAGGAGCCAAGGTTACTTATGTTTTGCTGTAGCAAAGAACATGGCTGCAGCGCGACCTTGCCCTCGAGATCTGTGAAACTTTGAACTTGAGGGTGATGATTTAGTGCATATCTGGTGGAATGAACTTCTAGGCAGCATAGCACAAGGGGGATCCTGTCTGCATCAAACAGCCCGTGTTCTTGTGTGACCAAGGTTATGTGTGACTGAGGAAATGACCTCAAGTTGGAATTTATATTTAAATGACAAGCAGAGCTCAAAAGTTTAGAACCATTTGCAGCCTGGCCAAGTGGTCAAAAAGAAAAGCTGATTTTCAGGGGGAAAATTCATGAAGGCTCCAGAAATTTGCATAAAATGGAGGCCAGTGCTAATAGCCAAGACAATGGGGGGAAAAAGCCTTGGAGGCATTTCAGAGATGGTTGCAGCAGCCCTTGGTGTCACAGACCCTGGGGCCTAGGAGAGAAGAATGGTTTCTGGGGCCAGCCCCATGGCCCTGCTGCTGTGTGCAGCCTCAGGACACTGCTGCCTGCATCCCAGCAGCCGCAGCTCCTGCTCCGACCTTGGCTGAAAGATGCACTGGTACAGATTGCATCACTGCTTCAGAGGGTACAAGCTATAAGGCTTCACGGCTTCCACATAGTCTTAAGCCAGCAAGTCCATAGAGCACTAGCCCAGAGGCTTCAGAGCCTTCATATAGATTTTGGAAGATGTATGAAAATGCCTGGGTGTCCAGACAGAAGGCTGCCAAAAAAGCAGAGCCTCCTGGGAAACCTCTACTAGGGCAGTGCAGAAGGAAAATAGGGGGTTGGAGCCCCCACACTGGAGGCCACCATATGCAGACCCCAGATTCATAGACCCACCAAGAGCTTTGTACACTCTGTGGGTAAAAACTACAGGCACTCAACACCAGCACAGCCCATGAGGGCAGCTGTGGGGACTGAAAACTACAAAGCCACAGGTGCAGACCAGCCCAAGGCCTTGGGAGTCCAGCCCTCATGCCCTTGTGCCCTGGATGTGGGACAAGGATTAAAAAAGGATGACTTTGGAGCTGTAAGTTTGAGTAACTGGCCTTCTGGGTTTTGGATTTTCCTGGGACCTGTAAGTCCCATTTGTGTTTCGTTGTTCTCTCTGGCAAAAATCTTCCTTTAGGGTGGGAATTCTTACTCAATGCCTGGACAATCATACCTTGGAAATAGTTAACTTGCTTTGTATTTCAGAGGCTCAGGAACAGAAGGGACTGCATCTTTGTCTCAGATGAGACTTTGGGCTTCAGATATTGAAGTAAATGCTGGAATGAGTTAAGACCTTGGAGGTCTTAGCCAAGACGATGGGGAAAAGTCATTGAAGGCATTTCATAGCTTCACTTCACAGTACTAATTTTCTGTATGATCATAACAAAAAGGGGTTTAATCGGCTGATGGTTCTGCAGGCTGTAAAAAAAAAGCATAGTGGCTTGGGGAATTGTAAGTAAGGCATCACTGTATTTTGCAAAATGAGAAGGACATGAGATTTGGGGAGGCAGGGACAGAATAATAAGATTCGGCTGTGTGTCGCTATGGAAACTCATGTGGAATTGTAATCAGAAATGTTAAAATTGGGGCCAGGTGGAAGGTGATTTAATCATGGAGGGCACTGGGTGTTGGAAGGTGGAGACTGGGGAGGATGGGTGGATTATGCTGGGGGTGAGGGGTGAAAAGTGGGGGTGGGGGGATGATCCCTCACAAATAGTTAAACACCATCTCCTTAATCCTTTCCTCATGATGGTGAGTTCTCGTGATGGTTTTGGAGCTGTGAGATTTAATGGATACTGGTCTCCTGGGTTTTGGACTTGCATTGGCCCTGTGATCCCATTTGTGTTATTTTCCTGGCAAACCTCTACCCTTTGGATGGAGAAAACTTACCCAATGCCTGTACCATCATTGTACCTTGAAAGAAAAGAACTCCCTTTTAAATTCAGGGACTTGTATGCAAAAGGGACTGTAGCCTTTTCTCAGGTGAGACGTGGAACTTTTTACATTCGAGTTAATGCTGAAATGACTTAAGACTTTTGGCAACTTTTGAAAAGGCATGATTGTATTTTACTCTGTGAGAAGGATATGATATTTGGGGGATCAGGGTCAGAATAATATGGTTTAGCTGTGTGTCCCTACCTAAACTCACATGTAATTGTAATCCCGAATGTTGCAGGTGGGGACTGGTGAGAGGTGATTTATTCATGGATGGGAGAGGGGTGGGGTTGGAAGTAAAAACAGGTGGGTAAGGTGGGGAGGAGTAGGCTGGCTGTAGGGTGGTGTGTAGCAGGAAGGGAGTAGCCTGCCACAGAGGCAGAGGCTCATGGAAAACCTCTACTAAGGCAGTGCACCTGTGGTTTTGCACCTGTGGCTTTGCAGGGTTTAGCACCTGCTGCTGCTCTCATGGGCTGGGCTGGTGTTGAGTACCTGAAGCTTTTCCATACTGGGGGTGTGAGCTGTTGGTGGGTCCATGACTCTTGGGTCTGGAGGATGGTGGCATGGGGGCTCCAAGCCCATATTTTCCTTCTGTACTGCCCTAGTAGAGGTTTTTCAAGGGGATCTGTCTCTGCCTCAGGCTTCTGCTTGGAAACAGTGGGTGGTGGATATGGGGAGGTGGGCGGATCCTTCACCAACAGTTAAGCACAATTTTCTTGATGCTGATCTCCTGATAGTGAGCTCTCATGAGATATAGTTGTATAACAGGATGTCTCACCTCTTTCCTCTCTCTGTCTTGCTTCTACTCCTGCCATATGAAATATTTCATTGCCGCTTGGCCTTCTGGTATAATTGGGAGGCTTTCTGAGTCCTCCTACAAGCAGAAACCACTATGCTTTCTTTACAGCCTGAAGAACTGTGAGTCAATTAGACCTCTTTTCTTTATGTAGATACAGAAAATTAATGCTGTGAAGTGAAGTTATGAAATGACTTCTAGGCGCTTCCCCCATTCTCTTGGCTATTAGCGCTGAGCTTTTTTCAATGCAAATATTGGAAGCCATCTTGATGTTTCCCCTGATAATAGACTTTTCTTCTTTTACCATATCGCCAGGCTGCAACAAAGATAGATGACAGTGTAGAAGCAGGTTCCAAATTGGGTAATGGCCAGAGGTTAGAGAGTTTGGAGAGCTTGGAAGAAGATAACAAGATGAGGGAAAGTTTGGACCATTGCAGAGACTTGTTAAATAGTTATGATTAAAAGGCTGACAGAAGGATGGACACTGAAGGCCAGGCTTGTAAGGTCTCAGATGAAAATGAGAAACTTACTGGGAAAAGGAGCCAAGGGTTTTTTCTTTTGCCTTAGCAAAGTAATTGGCTACACAGTGACCATTCCCTGGAGATCTGTGAAACTGAACTTTAGGGTGATGATTTAGGGTGTATCTGGTGGAATGAACTTCTAAGCAGCAAAGCTGAAGAGTTGTCCGGCCTACGTCGAAAAGCCTGTGCTCCTATGTGTGATGAAAGAAATTACCATAAGTTGGAACTTATATTTAAATGAGAAGCAGAGCTTCAACATTTGGAAAATTTGTAATCTGGACAAATGGTCAAAAAGAAAAGCTGACTTTCAGGGGGAAAATCAAGAAGCCTTCGGATATTTGCATAAAAAGGAGCCCCGTGCTAATAATTCAAGACAATGGGAAAAAGGCCTTGAAGGCGTTTCAGAGACCTTTGTAGCAGCCCTTGCTGTCACTGGCCCTGGGGTTTAGGAGAAAAGAATAGTTTCCTGGCCCAGCCCCATGGCTCCACTGCTGTGTGCAGCCTCAGGACACTGCTGCCTGCATCCCTGCAGCTCCTTTTCCAGCTCCAGCCATGGATGAAAGATGCACAGGTACAGCTTGCGTCACTGTTTCAGAGGATGCAAGCTCCAAGCCTTGGTGGCTTCTACATAGTGTTAAGCCAGCAGGTGCATAAAGCACAGGACTAGAAGCTTCAGAGCCTTGGTCTGGACTCCAGAGGATATATCAGAAATCCTGAGTGTCTAACCAGAAGCTTTTCCAAGAGGGAGAGCCTCATGGTAAACCTCTACTCGGGCAGTAGAAAAGGAAAGTATAGGGTTGGAGTCCCCATACAGGGAGGCACCATTTTCCAGACCCCAGTATCATAGACCCACCAGCTGCTTGCACCCTTAGTGTTGAAAAGCTACAGGCACTCAACACCAGCCTAGCCAATGAGGGCAGCTGTAGGGGGAAGATTCTGCAATGCCACATGTGCAGAGCTGCCCAAGGCCTTGGGATCCCAGCCATCACAAAACCCTGTGCTCTGGATGTGGACATAGATTCCAAAAAGATGATTTGGAGCTGTATGATGGAATGCCTGGCCTGCTGGGTTTTTGACTTGCAGGGGGTTTGTAAGTCCCATCTGTGTTTTGTGCTTCTTTCTGGGAAATTTCTACTTTTTGGCTTGGAATGCTTACCCAATGCCTGTACAATCATTGTAACTTGGAAGTGGTTAACTTGCTTTGTATTTCAGAGGCTCAGGGCAGAAAATATGGCAGCCTTGTCTCAGAGGAGACTTTGGCCTTTGGACATTTGAGTAAATGCTGGGATGAGTTAAGATTTGGGGGACTCTAGGGAAGGCCTCATTGCATTTTGCAATGTGAGAAAGACATGAACTTTGGGGGACCAGGGACAGAATAATATGTTTTGGCTCTGTGTCTCTACCAAAACTCATGTAGAATTTTAATGGGAAATGTTAAAGGTGGGGGCTGGTGGAAGGTGAGTTAATCATGGTGAAGGGTGGAGGTTAGATGGTTGGGGGTGGGGAGGGTTGGGGGGATTAAGGGGTGGGGAGGGTTGGGGGCGATTGTGGTGGGGTTGGGGGTGAAAGGCAGGGGTAGGGGGTAGATCCTTCACAAATGGACATTTGAGTAAATGCTGGAATGAGTTCAGACATTGGGGGACTGTAGAGAATGCATCATTGTATTTTGCAGTATGAGAAGGATGTGAGATTGGGGGGCCAAAGGGAGAATAATACGATTTGGCTCTGTGTCCCTACCAAAACTCATGTGGAATTATAATGGGGAATGTTAAGTGTGGGGCTTCGTAGAAGGTGATTTAATCATGGTAGAGAATGGGGGTTGGAAGGGGGATGTGGGAGAATGGAGGTTCATGGTGTGGGTGAGGGTGAAACATGGGGATGGGTGGCAGATCCTTCACAAATGGTTAAATACTATCTCCTTAATGCAGTCTGTGTGATAGTGAGTTCTCGTGATAAATGAATGCTGTCCTGCTGGGTTTTGGAGTCGGATTGGGCCTGTGTCCCATTTGTGTTATTTTTCTGGGATAACCTTCCCTTTGGTTTAAGAAAGCCTACCCAATGCCTGTGCCATCATTGTAACTTGAAAGAAAAGAATTGTCTTTTACATTCAGGGAGTCATAGGCAGAAGGGATTGCAGCCTTGTCTTGGATGAGACTTGAACTTACTACATTTGAGTTACTGCTGGAATGAGTTAAGACTTTTTGAAACTTTTGAAAAGGCATGTTTGTATTTTTCTGTGTGAGAAGGACATGAGATGTGGGGGTGTCAGGGTCAGGATAATATGGTTTGGCTGTGTTTCCCTACAAAAACTCATGGGGAATTGTATTCCTGACAGTTATAGGTTGGGCCTGGTGGGAGGTGATTTAATCACAAAGGGGAGGTTGGTAGCGGTGGAAGGGAAAACAAATGCGTAGGATGGGGAGGAGTAGGCTGGCAGTAGGGTGGTGAGAGTTTCATGGGCAGTAGTAAGGGGGAGTAGCCTGCTGCAGAGGCAAAGCCTCAAGGAAAACCTCCACCAGGGCAGGGCACCTATGGCTTTGCAGGGTGTAGCCCCCATGGCTGCCCTCATAGGCTGGGCTGTTGCTTGAGTGCCTGTAGCTTTTCCATACTGAGAGTGCAAGCTGTTGGTGAGTCTATGAATCTGGGGTCTGAGGATGGTAACCTCCTGTGTGGGGCCTCCAAGCCCATATACTTTTTCTGCTCTGCCCTATTAGAGGTTTTCCTAGTGGCTCTGCCTCTTCCTCAGGCTTCTGCCTGGAAACAGTGAGGGGTGTGGGTGGTAGGGGGCAGAACTTTCACCAATGGTTAAGCAACATCTTCTTGATACTGACCTTGTGATAGTGAGTTCTCAGGAAATCTGGTTGTATAACAGGGTTATACAACGTGTGGCACCTTTTTCCTCTCTGTTTTGTTTCTACTTCTGCCATATAAAACATCCCATTGCTGCTTGGTCTTCTGGTATGATTGGGAGGCTTCCTGAGTCCTCCCAGAAGCAGAAGCCTCTATGATTTATTTAAAGCTTGTAGAACCATGAGCCAGTTCAACCTCTTTTCTTTCTGATTATACAGAAAAATAATGCTATAAAGTGGAACTATGAAATGCCTTCAAGGCCTTTTTCCTATTCTCTTGGCAATCAGCACTCAGCTTCTTTTCAGGCAAATGTCTGAAGCCTGCATTAATTTTTCTCCTGAAATGGACTTTTCTTCTTTTACCACATTGCCAGGCTGTGACAAACGTAGCTGAAAATGTAGAAGCAGGTTGAGAAGTGTGTAATGGCCAGAGGTTGGAGAGTTTGGAGGTCTTGGAAGAAGACAGGAAGATGAGGAAAAGTGTGGAACAGTGTAGAGACTTGTTAAATAGTTATAATTAAAAAGGTGACAGAAGGATGGACAGTGATCACCAGGCTTAGAATGTCTCACATGAAAATGAGGAGCTTGCTGGGAACAGGAGTCAAGGTCACTTTTGTTTTTTCCTTAGCAAAGAATGTTGCTGCATGATGCCCCTAACCTGGAGACCTGTGAAATTTTGAACATCAGGGTGATAATTTAGAGTGTATTTGGTGGAATGAAATTTTAGGCAGCAAAGCTTAAGAGGTTTCCTGTCTGTGTCGAACAGCCTGTGGTCCTATATGTGACCAAAGAAATGACCTCAAGGTGAAACTTGTATTTAAATGAGAAGGAGAGCTTAAAAGTTTGGATAATTTGAAGCCTGGCCAAGTGGCCAAAAAGAAAAGCTGATTATCAGTGGGAAAGTTAAAAAAGTCTTCAGAAATGTGCATAAAAAGGAGTTCAGTGCTAATAGCCAATACAATGTTAAAAAGGTCTTGAAGGCATTTCAGAGACTTTTGCAGCAGCCCTTGCTATCACAGGCCCTGAGGCCTGGGAGAAAAGAATGGTTTCCTTCTCCAGCCCCATGGCCCCGCTGCTATGTCCAACCTCAGGACACTGCTGGCTGCATTCCTGAAGCTCCAGCTCCAGCCTTGGCTGAAAGATGCACAGGTACACCTTGCATCACTGCTTCAGGGGTGCAAGCTTCAAGGCTTGGTGGCTTCCACATAGTGTTAAGCCAGCAGCTGCACACAGCACAAAACTAGACGCTTGCAAGCCTTTGTCTAGACTCCAGAGTATGTACGGAAAAACTGGGTGTTCACACAGAATCTTTTCCAAGAGGCAGAGCCTCATGGGAAACTTTTACTAGGGCAGTACAGAAGGAGAATTTAGGGCTGGAGTCCCTAAATATGGAGGCACCATTCTCCAGACTCCAGATTCATAGACTCACCAACAGCTGGCACCCTTAGTATGGAAATGCTACAGGCACTCAACATCAGCCCAGCCCATGAGGGCAGCTGTGGGGTATAGACCCTGCACAGCCACAGGCGCAGAGCTGCCCAAGGCCTTGGAAGCCCAGGCATCACACACCTGTGCTCTAGATGTGAGATGTAGATTCAGAAAAGATGATTTGGAGCTGCAGGATTCAATGACTGGCCTGCTGGGTTTTTGACTTGCATGGGGTCTGTAAGTCCTTGTACATTTCAGTAAATGCTGGAATGAGTTAAGTCATTGGGGGACAGTAGAGAAGTCATCAGTGTATTTTGCAGTGTGACAAGGATACAAGATTTGGGGAGCAAGAGCCAGAATAATATGATTTGATTCTGTGTCCCTACCAATGCTCATGTGGAATTGTAGTGGGGAATGTTAAAGGTGGGACCTGGTGGGAGGTGATTTAATCATGGAGAAGAGTGGGTGTTGGAGGTAGGGGTGTGGGGAGAATGGGAGAGATTATTTTGTGGGTGGGAGTGAAAGGTGAAGGTGGGGGGCAGATTCTTCACAAATGAGTAAACACTATCTCCTTAATGCTGTCCGCACGACAGTGAGTTCTCTTGATGATTTTGGAGCTGTGAGATTGAGTGAATACTGTCCTGCTGGGTTTTGGACTTGCATTTGTGTTATTTTTCTGAGCAACTTCTTCCCTTTGGATTGAGAAACCTTACCCAATGCCTGTTCTACCTTGAAGGAAAAGAAATCCCTTTTAAATTCAGGGACTCATTGGCAGAAGGAACTGTAACCTTGTCTCAGATGAGATTTTGAAATTTTTACATTCGGAATGAGTTAAGACTTTTGGAAACTTTTGAAAAGGCATGATTGTGTTTTGCTCTGTGAGAAGGACATGAGGTTCTGGGGAATCAGGGTCAGAATAATATGGGTTGGCTGTGTGTCCCTATAAAACTCACGTGTCATCCTTAATGTTGGAGGTGGGCCAGGTGGGAGGTGACTTAATCTTGGATGGGAGGGGGTTGGGGTGGAAGGAAAAGGAGGGATAGTGTGGGGAGGAGTAGGTTGTCAGTAGGGTGGTGGGAGGGTGGGAGCAACCTGCTGCAGAGGCAGAGGCTCATGGGAAACCTCTACTAGGAGAGTGCACCTGTGGCTTTGCAGGGTGTAGCCCCCATGGCTGCTCTCATGGGCTGGGTTGGTGTTGAGTGCCTGTAGCTTTTCCATACTCAGAATGTGAGCTGTTGGTGGGCTTATTAATCTGGAGTCTGGAGGATCATGGCCTCTTGTGTGGGGGCTCAAAGCCTATATTTTCCTTCTGCACTGCCATAGTGGAAGTTTCATAAGAGGTTCTGCCTCTGCAGGAGGCTTCTGCCTGGAAGCAGTGGCCAGTGGTGTGGTTGGAGAATCCTTCACCATTGGTTAGTCTTCTTGATGCTGATCTCCTGATAGTGAGTTCTCATGTGATCTGGTTGTCTAACAGGATGTCACACCTCTTTCCCCTCTCTGTCTTTCTCCTACTCCTGCCATATGAAACATCTCATTGCCTCTTGGTCTTCTGATATGGTTAGGAGGGGCCTGATCAGTGTGGGCCTGCTCAGGGGACCTAGTCAGTTGGGACTTGTCAGTGAGGCCTATTTAGTGGGGGGTGGTCAGCAGGGGTCTGCTTAGAGCGGGTCTCATTAGAGGGATCTAGTAGTGCATGTCTTGTTGAGTGGGTTGATAGTGGTAGACAAATGTTTGGTGTCTGGTCAGTGCCAACCTGGGCTGTGGGACTTGGTCAGTGGAGACCTTGGGACCTAGTCAGCAGAGACGCTTGTCAGTGGGGCCCTGGTCAGGGCAGGCTGGTCCGTGGAACTTAATCAGTGGGGGCCTGGTCAGAGAGGACTTGATCATTGGTGGCTTTTGTAGCACTGGTCTACGGGGTGACCTGGTCAGCGGGGATCTGAGCAGTGCGTGCCTGTTCAGTGGGGCGTAGTCATTAGGGCCCCAGTCAGGGGCATCTTGTCACCTCAGTCCTGGTTAGCAGGGGCCTGGTCACTGGCTGCCTATTCCCTGCAGGCCTGGTCAGTGGGGCTTCGTCTGTGGGACCAGACAATGGGGTCATGATCGGTGGAACCTGATCAGTGAGGCCTTGTCAGTAAGGACCTCGTCAGTGAGGCCTTGTCAGTAAGGTCCTCGTCAGTGGAGTCCTGGACATTGTGGGCCTGGCAGCGGGAATCTAGTTAGTGAGGCCTGGTGATGGGGCTCTAATCAGTGAGGGTGTGGTCAGGGAGGAAGTGATATGCTGGAACTTGTCACCAGGGACCTGGTCAGTGGGGGCTGCTGAGTACTGCTGGGAGATGTCAGGGGAAATGCATGTTATCGAGGAACCTGTGGACAGCTGGGGTGGCCCAGTGGTGTTCAATGGCCCAGTCAAAAGTGGACAAAGCAGGTGTTTGGATGGACCTAGGAGATCTTGCTCAGAGATTCTGACAGGACAAAGGTAAAGGAAGGGCCAGAGTGGTGGGAGAGATAGTCACAGTCTATGGTCTGCACAGGATGGAGGAGGCCAGGGAACAGGCAGGGTGGGCAGCTTGGTTTCAGGGAGAGGCAGGTGCATGCTGGGAGGTCAGACCCTATGAGGGTTGTGGGGGCGTCAGGTGGTGTGGGCTCCAGGTGCACCCTCAGCGCACTGGGCAGGTCTTGGCCCAGGCTCCCTGGACCTTGGCTGGGTGATGTGGTCACTTGCTGGGAGACTGTTGTCAGGTGCTGGCCACCCACTCTGGGTAGCACTGTCCCATCTCAGGACTGGACTTCCTCAGATACTGCAGAGGGCACAGCCTCCAGCCCAGGAGGGGAAGCCCCTTGGTGCAGCCTGAGCTCTCCATGGGCCTGGAGCATCCCCTGCCAGCCCTGCACTCCCTCTTCTCCCTGGTCCCGCTTTTCCAGGGTCAGCCAGTGGGGAGGCCCCGTCCTCACTTCCCTATGTGTCTCCTGGGCTGAAACTTGCAGTGCATTGGGACAGGCATGAGGCTTCCCTAAGGCCCATTTAGGGAGAGGACTGGCTCCCAGCCTGGCACAGGTCCTCAGGTCTGCCTTGGTTGCCTTAGAATGAGATGTATCAGTCAGTGCCCTGAAGGTAAAGGTAGGAGACTGTCCCTGCTGTTGGGAGGCTGGTCTAGGGATGGAGGACTTCACAGGTCCTCCCAGTCTGTCAGGCCTGGGCAGCACTGTCCTGTTTTAGGACTCAGAAAGTCCAGTTCTGGGATGGGACGGCGCTGCCCAGGGAGGGTGGCCAGGGTCTGAGAGCAGTCCCCCAGGGAGTGACCACATCACCCAGCCGGGGTCCAGGGAGCCTGGCCTGAGACCTGCCCTGTGCACTGAGGGTGCACATGGAGCCAACTCCACCTGATGCCCCCACAGCCCTCACAGGTCCTGACCTCCCAGCATGCACCTGCCTCTCCCTGAATTCCAGCTGTCCACCCTGCCTGTTCCCTCAGTTCCTCCATCCTGTCCAGCAGGATGGGATGGGCAGGGGGACAGCCTGTGTGCACATTTCATGGCAAGCAGGAGTGACACACCATCCCTGAGAGGCGCCTTGGTTCCTCCAAAACCTGGCCCCAGAACTCTGTCCTTGGGGTGGTTTTACCAAACCCCAAACCCAGAACTGTGGCTGTGGCTCAGGGGTCAGCACCCGCTAGTTCTACAATGTTGCCAAGGACTTTGATTGTACAATGTTCTTCTTTTCAATAGTCATTCCAAATATTGTGAGATGCACTGTTTCAGGAAGCCCCTTGCCCTCCTAAAAGCCACCCTACTTCTCTCTAAGGAGAATGGCCCAGTCCTCTCCCGAGTTCACACATGGTAGGCGATAGCATTGCTTTTGTGTAAATTACGTAATGCAAATTTTTTTAAATCTTTGCCTTAATACTTTTAAATTTTGTTTTATTTTGAATGACTAGCCTTCATGGCCCCACTTTTTTGTATCCCAACTTGGAATGTATGAAGGGTTTTGGTCTCCCTGAGAGTGGCTCGAGGCAGCCAGGGCTTACCTGTACTCTGACTTGAGAAAAGTTGGATAAAAGTGTTCACCTTAAAAAAAATTGAATGACGAAGCATTAACAAAAACAGTATTTCAGTACAGTGGACAGCTTAGCATTTTGACAATTGGGAATAAAATGCTCATTTCTGAACTGTACAATGTAAGACCCAAAAACAAAACACTGGAAATGGAAATTCAATTATGTCATTATAGACTGGCTACTGCTCTACATGACTGTGACCAACGTCAGATAGTTGAAAGAGATTTCTTTCCAGAGAACAAGACATGAACAGGTTTATTTACAGTAAACAATGAATTCTCATATATCTAACCTAAAATATAGCAGATTCTTTCCGAACAAGTCTAATGTAGACAGTAAAATTAACAGGCTAAAAATTAAACTCCATCAAACAAGATGAACTCTGAGAGAATAGATGGGGCAGGCCGCCATCTTTCCTGTTCAGGCAACTTAGTCATTCCAGCCTGAGGGCTTTGGAGAGTATAAACCGACAAGGGGCAGAAGAGATCCCACAGCACAGCATAGCTGCTTTACCAAATCATGGCCAGAATGCTTCTGTAAGCAGGCCCCCGACCCTGTTGCACATCATTGTACAGGACCTCCCAAATGGGGCCTCCAGCTACCGCCACCAGCATTCCTTGGCCAATAGAAATTTGAAGTGTTCATGGGACAGAGCTCCCAGAGAGAGGGGTAGGCCACCACCTTTGCTGTTTGGGTGACTAGCCGTTCTGGTTTGCGGGCTTTGGAAAGCCCAAGGTGACAAGGGGTGGAAGAGGAACCTCAGCGGAGCACGGCCACACTACGAAAACGTGGCCAGACTCTTGTTTAAGTCAGTCCCCGACCACATTTCTAATCAGCAGGTGAAGCCTTTCAACCAAGGTCTCCAGCTGCCTTCACTGCTGTTCTCTGGCCGACAGAGGTTTCAGGCCTCCCTGAGTCAGAGCTCCCAGGGGGAGGACCAGACTGTTGTCTTTGCTGTTGGGGCAACTCAGCCATTTCAGCATTAGGGCTTCAGAGTGTCTGAGGCAACCAGGAGCGGAAGTGAACACCCAGCATAGCACAGCTGCTCTAGAAAAACGTGCCCAGACTTTTTTTTTTTTAACTCAGTGCCTGTTTTTGTTCCTCCTGACTAGATAAGACTTCTCAACTTGTCTCCAGTCACATCTTATAGGTGCGTTCATACTGGCAACAAGTTCGTACCTCAGTGGCACAGAGCTCCCAGAGGAAGGGGCAGGCTATCATCTTCCCTGGAAAATACAAGGCAGTTAGGGACTGGAGGGGACCCCCAGCATACCACAGCAGCCTGACAGAAAAGTGGCCAGACAGTCTACTTGATGGGCAGGTCCTACTGACCTGGGTCTCCAGCCAGTCCACCATTGGAACTATCCAGCCAGTAGCAACTCAGCAATTCCCTGGACAGAGCTTCCAGGAGCAAACGAAATTCTCTCTGTCATTGCCTCCGCAGTGAAACTGCCCTTGCTACCCTCAGAATATCAAGGGAGCAAAGACCCTAAGTGCCATATTGACACCTCCAATAAGCTGCGGTTGACCCAATGAACAAGCCAGTCCATCTCCCACGGGTACCACACACCCCCCACTGCTCATCACCAGAGAGGGAACACTGGCTTGGCCTCAGAACACAGACCCTCCATCCTGGGCTGATTACGCTAAGTGATTGCTAACTCACATCTCTATGGGATGGAGCACCCAGGAGACAAGCAGAGTGGTGGAGCAGCAAGTCAGGTGATGTGGAGCCCAGAGGGCAGGGACAGCTATCTCTCTAGGCTCCACGTGCCCTTGTGAGACACTTTATCCCAGCACTTTAGGAATGCTAAGTTCAGATCAGCCCCATCTCATGTTCAGGATTGCCCAGCAGAGACCAGGTCCCAGAGTTCCCCTCCTCAAAAAGGGGACTTGCTTAAAAAAGAAGCCTGACCATGTTTGTGTAAAGCAGCTATGCTGTGCCGGGGGTTCACTTTTGAGAGAGTTCTCCTCTGAGACCTGATCTCTGCTGGGCAGTCTTGCACATGAGATGGGGCTGGTCTGATATCAGCACTCCTTTGTCTGCTTGCCTCTCCCAGGACCCCAGCCTGGCCACATCTGCATACAGGGCACTCTCGGATGCCCACAGCATAGCTTCCGTGCTAGTGGACTGTACCTGATCAGTGGAGAGCTGCAGCAAGGTGGCCCCAACAGCCACGCACCAGCCTGCACATTACCTCTCCATACTGCAGCCCTTTATATGGAAACTTCCTACATCACTTTGCTGTGTGTGTTTCCACATGTGGGTTTTGCTGTACTTGCCCTGACAGCACAGGGGAGTGCAGGACACACCCCAACCCACACCAACTGCCATTGAAGACAGAGCCTTGGTGGGCACAGAACCAAGAACCCCACCCCTGCCAGCACCTAACCCTTGAGCTAATGCTGTGCAGAGAAAAAGGGACCTTCTTATACCCTGAGTGACCACTGTTGCTTTGAGGGGCACAGAGAAGGCACCATGGCCTGTACTGGCCAGCAGCCCACCCTGAACCAACACTACCTCCAGTGCAACACACACACAGCAGGGGACCCCTGGCCCACACCCCAGCTGTCTTGCCTCCACCACTGGGTGAACGCCCGCAGGGAGGCAGGGACTTTTGCATCCACTAGCATTCTGCCACAGTTGCCACACTTTTGTCCCCTCAGTGCAGTGGACTCCAAACCTCCAAGAGCCAGAGAACAAAGTTGGGACCCAAGACAAGTTCCCCAGAGTTAAAGCACACAGTCCAGGAATTGGAAGCTGCACATTGGCCCCCCTAAAATCCTCCAAAAACAAAGCCAGTTGGTTGAATCCACCTTATCCCACAATGAAACCCTCAAGATCATCAAATACAATAAAACAAAAATACCCTGTCCGAAGGTCAGCAACCTCAAAGATGGAAGGTGGATAAGCCCATAAAGATGAGAAAGAATCTGTGCGAGAACACTGAAAACTCCAAAAGTCAGCATGCTTTCTTTCCTCCAAATGACTGTATCAACTCTCCAGCAAGTGTTCAGAACTGGGCTGAGGCTGAGATGTCTGGAATGATACAAGCAGGGTTCAGGATATGCGTAGGAACAAAGTTCACTGAGTGAAAGACGTATGTTGTCATGCAATACAAGTGAGCTAAAAATCATTGTAACACATTGTAGGAGCTAACAGACAAAATAGCAAGTATAAAGAAGACACAACCGACCTAATAGAGCTGAAAAGCACACTACAAGAATTTTCATAATGCAGTCACATAGTGATTATGTGTGATTGCATTATGAAAATTATTGTAGTGTGTGTGGGCACCTGAGATTGCCCTGTAAGCAGGTGTGGCCAGGCTGGGGTCCTGGGAGAGGCAAGCAGACTAAGGAGGGCTGAGGTCAAACCAGCTCCATCTCATGTGCAAGACCACCCAGCAGAATAGACCAAGCAGAGGAAAGAATCCCAGAGCTTGAAAACTGGCTTTCTGAAATAAAACAGGCAGACAAGAATGGGGGAAAAAAGAAGGAAAATGAATGAACAAAACATCCAAGAAATATGAGATTATATAAACGACCAAATCTATGACTGATTAGTGTACGTGAAAGAGATGAGGAGAATGGAACCAACTTGGAAAACATACTTCAGAATATCATTCATGAGAATATCCCCAACCTATCCAGACAGGCCAACATTCCAATTCAGGAAATCCAGAGAACCTCAGTAAGATAAGCCGCGAGAAGATCATCCCCAAGACATATAATCATCAGATTCTCCAAGGTCAAAATGAAAGAAATAATGTTAAAGGCAGCTAGGGAGAAAGGCAACGTCACCTGCAAAGGGAATTCCATCAGACTTAGCAGACTTCTCAGCTGAAACCCTACAAGCCAGAAAAGATATTCAACTTCTTAAAGAAAAGAAATTTCACGTAGTATGGCAGAGACAGATATACCATATAATAACATGGTGTTATTATAAATGGTTAAAAGAAAAAGAAATTTCAACCCAGAATTTCATGTCCAGCAAAATTAAGCATCATAAGTGAAGGAGAAACAAGATCCTTTTCAGACAAGCAAATGCTGAGAGAATTCATTATCACCAGATCTACCTTACAAGAGCTCCTGAATGAGGCACTAAATATGGAAAGAAAAGACCATCACCAGCCACTACAAAAATGCACCGAAGTACACAGACCAGTAATGCTAAAAACCAACCACATACACAAGTCTGCAAAATAACTAGCTGACAGCATGACGACAGGATCTAATCCACACATACCATTACTAACCTTAAATGGAAATGGGCTAAATGCTCCGATTGAAAGACACAGGGGGCAAGCTGGATAAAGAACCAAGACCCATTTGAGTATGCTGTCTCCAAGAAACCCATCTCACATGCAGTGCCATACATAGGCTCAAAATGAAGGAATGGTGAAAAATCTTTCAAGCAAATGGAAAACAGAAGAAATCAGGTGTTACACTCCCAGTTTCGACAAAACGTATATACCAATAAAGATAAAAAAAGACAGAGAAGGTCATTACAAAGGTGGTCCTGACCTTTGATAAATCTCATTATTGATTGATACCAACCTGGGCTATCTTTATTGCCCAAACCAACAGGATAATTTGCTGAGGTTGTGGAGCTTCTCCCCTGCAAAGAGTCCCTGATCTCCCAAAATCTGGTTGAGATCTAAGTTTGATTTTTCTGTACAACTCCTTTTCTGAAGTTTTACTCATTTCCAACAAGGAAGGCAAGTTTTCCTGCTTCTGTGGTGATGGAGAGCAGGCACCTCCTTTCCTGAGTTTCAGCTTGCTTCTGACAGGGAAGGTGAGTGTAAGTTGTTTCCAGCTTCTAACA
The DNA here is from genome assembly GCF_000001405.40 of Homo sapiens. Classification (NCBI taxonomy): domain Eukaryota; kingdom Metazoa; phylum Chordata; class Mammalia; order Primates; family Hominidae; genus Homo; species Homo sapiens. Next base: position 130,315 of record NT_113793.3, on the reverse strand, counting down.
TGGCAGAGAACGATCACCAGCCTGAGCCTTGTTTCCAGGTAAGTAGCTGAATTAGAGTTTTGTCTTAAAATTTTTCCTTAATGACTAAAATTTAAGATTACTCACCAGCTGCTTTTAATTTCTGCTTTTAGTTTCTCCTTACCATTAGAACACTCAGTAATCATATGAATTGTGCATTTGTTGTTTTGCTTAACTCTTTTTGTTTGTTTATGCTTGGGGCTTTATTGTTGTTGTTTCACTTTTCTCCCTTCTCTTCCTGACTTGGTCAAATCCAAAGGAATTTTCCAAATTGTGGGGAGCAAGCCCTCTGAATTGGCTAAAACTCCTATGGCTGCAAACAAACAAACAAACAAATAAACAACAACAAAAAACATTCCAGTTAGCAGAAATTATTTTTTAAAACTTTTTTTTTTTTACATAAGTGGTCTCATCTACATAACAAGGCCACCCTTTTGCTAGTCAAGGCTAAACTGAAGGAGTAGTGGTGGTGACCCAATGTGAAGATTGTGCCCTGTTCACTACAGAAACCTGAGTTTGGTTCCTAAGTCTAGTTCTTCCTGTTTGATATTTGTGTTACTTTTAAAGCGTCAGCAGTTTGTCCCAGCTATGATGTGGTAATAAAAGATTCAAAAGGATTTTCTTCACAAGTTCTATGATTAAAAGCTTAATTAAAAGCAAATTTCTTTTTTTTTTAATTGTACTTTAAGTTCTGGGGTACATGTGCAGAACATGCAGGTTACATAGGTATACACATGCCATGGTGGCTTGCTGCATCCATCAACCCATGATCTACATTAGTTATTTCTCCTAATGCCATCCCTCTCCTAGCCCCCCACCCTGACAGGCCCTAGTGTGTGATGTTCCCCTTCCTGTGTCCATGTGTTCCCATTGTTCAACTCCCAGTTATGAATGAGAACATGTGGTGTTTGGTTTTCTGTTCTTCTGTTAGTTAGCTGAAAATGATGGTTTCCAGCTTCGTTCATGTCCCAGCAAATGACGTGAATTCATCCCTTTTTATGGCTGCATAGTATTTCGTGGTGTATATATGCCACATTTTCTTTATCCAGTCTATCATTGGTGGGCATTTGGGTTGGTTCCAAGTCTTTGCTGTTGTGAACAGTGCCACAATAAACAGACAGGTGCATGTGTCTTTATATTAGTATGATTTATAATTTTAGGGGTATATACCCAGTAATGGGATTGCTGGGTCAAATGATATTTCTGGTTGCAGATCCTTGAGGAATTGTCACACTGTCTTCCACAATGGTTGAAGTAATTTATATTCCCACCAACTGTGTAAAAGCTTTCCTATTTCTCCACATCCTCTCTAGCATCTGTTCTTTCCTGATTTTTTAACGATGACCATTCTAAGTGGTCTGAGATTGTATCTCATTGTGGTTTTGATTTCCATTTCTCTAATGACCAGTGATGATGTGCTTTGCTTCACATGTTCGTTGGCTGTATAAATGTCTTCTTTGGTAAGTGTCTGTTCATACCCTTTGCTCACTTTTTGATGGTTTTTTTTTCTTGTAAATTTGTTCTTTGTAGATTCTGCATATTAGCCCTTTGTCAGATGGATAGATTGCAACAATGTTCTCCCATTCTGTGGGTTGCCTGTTCACTCTGATAATAGTTTCTTTTGCGCTGCAGATACTCTTAAGTTTAGTTAGATCCCATTTGTAAATTTTGGTTTTTGTAGCCATTGCTTTTGGTGTTCTAGTGATGAAGACTCTTCCCATGGCTATGTCCTGAATGGTATTGCCTAACACAAGGACATTTCTGTGCCTGACTGCTATACCACCCAAAGTAATTTATAGACTCATTGCTGTCCCCATCAAGTTACCATTACTTTCTTCACAGAATTAGAAAAACTACTTTAAATTTCATATGGAACCAAAAAAGAGCCCACATAGCCAAGACAATCCTAAGCAAAAACAGCAAAGCTAGAGGCATCACAGTACCTGACTTCAAATTATTCTACAAGGCTACAGTAACCAAAACAGCATGGGGCTGGTAACAAATCAGATCTATAGACCAATGGAACAGAACAGAGCCCTCAGAAATGACACCACACATCTAAAAGCATCTGATCTTTGACAAACCTGACAAAAACAAGCAATGGGAAAGGATACCCTATTTAATAAATGGTGTTGGGAAAACTGGCTAGCCAAATGCAGAAAACTGAAACTGGGCCACAACCACACACCTTAAACAAAAATTAAGTAAGATGGATGAAAGAGTTAGAAGTAAGACCTAAAACCATAAAAAATCTAGAAGAAAACCTAGGCCACCAACCTCAGGGGAAATGACCTGTAGTGAAATGCATGGTACAAACAAGCATTCCCTGCTTCCTTGAGTGGGCGACGTTGATGGCTAGTCCAATCACTTCAGGCACACCCTTGCAAACGCGGCTGGTTGCTTTTTGAGCCAGCTTGGCCTTGCCCGGCATACACAAGCCTCAATGCAACAACTTTGCTAAAAATGGAGCCACACAGAGGAAATGAGCAGCAAGCTCAGAAGCAGGGTGTGCACTGCCTTTGGGGCTCCAGTCCATGCCTCAGGGCTTGTATGGGACTGCAGGATTCTTGGTTGCCAAGAGGTAGACCATAGACCAGCCGAGGAGGACTTTATGTTCAAGGGCAGAAAGCAGCCAGGTTTACCACCCAGGGGACTCGGCCTTCTGTGGCCCCGGCCAGACTTAGAATTTGGCTCAAAGTAGGACCAGCTCACTCGGAGTAGTGTGTCAGTAGCTGGGGCCTGTACATGCTAGGCAAGGCTAAGCTGGCTCAAAGAGCAACCAGCCACCACTGCAAGGGTGCTCCTGGATGAGGTGGAGCAGCCAGCAACTTCAGCTACACAAGGAAGCAGGGATGGCCAGGTTCCCACAGCATGAGTGGCCACCGCCTGATGGCTGATCAAGCAGAGGCCTGAGGAAAAGCAGATGGCAGTTGGGCCCTACCTCTAGGGTAGAAGAACTGATGTACCCTGACCGGTAGTGAGTGAGGTTGGTGGTGGGTCCACCGGCTCCTGGCACACCCTTGCAGAGGAGGCTGTTTGCTCTTTAAGGCAGCTTGGCCTTGCCTGGCATGCATAGGCCCCAGGTACCGACACGCTGCTCCCAGTGAACTTGTTCTGCCTTGGACCAAATTCTAAGTGGCTTGGAGTTTGCCCAGCATGCCCAAGCCTCAGTGTAATAACTGTGCAACAAATGGAGCCACATAGCCGAAACGAGCAGCAGGCTCAGAAGCAGGGTGTGCCCTGCCTTTGGGGCTCCAGTCGATGCCTCAGGGCTCCTATGGCACTGCGGGTTTCTTGGTTGCCTAGCTGCAGACCACAGGCTGTCTTGAGGAGGACTTTATGTTCAAGTGCAGAAAGTAGTCAGGATTACCATCCAGGGGACTCTGCCTTCTGTGGTCCTCTCCAGACTTAGAATTTGGCCCAAGGCAGGACAAGCTGGCTCGGAGCAGAGTGTCAGTACCTGGGGCCTATGCATGCCAGGCAAGGCCAAGCTGGCTCAGAGCAACCAGCCACCTCTGCAAGGCTGTGCCTGTAGCAGGCGGACAAGCCAGCAACCTCACCCGCTCAAGGAAGCCCGGATGGCCAGGTTCCAACAGCATGAGTAGCTGCCACCTGATGCCTGATGGAGCAGAGGCCTGAGGAAAAGCAGGTGGCATATTTAACTCTTTAATCCATCTTAAGTTAATTTTTGTATGAAGCAGATGGCACCAGTCCATGCCTCAGGGCTCATATGGCACTGCGGGCCACAGAAGGGCGAGTACCCAGGGTGGTAATCCTGCCTGCTTTCTGCACTTGAACATAAAGTCCTCTTCAAGACGGCCTGTGGTCTGCCTCTTGGCCCCACCTTTAGGGTAGAAGAACTGATGTACCACGTCTGGCAGTGAGTGAGGTTGGCGGCTGGACCATCTGCGCCTGGCACACCCTTGCAGAGGTGGCTGCTTGCTCTTTGAGCCAGCTTGGCCTTGCCTGGCATGCACAAGCCTCACTGCAACAAGTGTGCTACAAATGGAGCCATATAGAGGAAATGATCAGCAGGCTCAGGAACGGGGCGTGCACTGCCTTTGTGGCTCCAGTCCATGCCTCAGGGCTCATATGGCACTGTAGGCTTCTTGGTCGCCAAGAGGCAGAACACAGGCTGTCTTGAGGAGGACTTTATGTTCAAGTGCAGAAAGCAGCCAAGATTAGCACCCAAGGGACTGGGCCTTCTGTGGCCCTGGCCAGATTTAGAATTTGACCCAAGGCAGGACAAGCTTACTCGGAGCAGAGTGTCAGTACCTGGGGCCTATGCATGTCAGACAAGGCCAAGCTGGCTCAGAGCAACTAGCCACCTCTACAAGGCTGTGCCTGTAGCAGGCAGACAAGCCAGCAACCTCAGCTACTCAAGGAAGGAGGGATGGCCATGTTCCCACAGCCTGTGTGGTTGCCGCCTATGACTGATAGAGCAGAGGCCTGAGGAAAAGCATATGGCACTGGGGCCCTACCTCTAGGGTAGAAGAACTGATGTAACCTTACCAGCAGCGAGTGACGTTGGTGGCCGGTCCACCGGCTCCTGGCACAACCTTGCAGAGGTGGCTGGTTACTTTTTGAGCCAGCTTGGCCTTGCCCGGCATGCTCAAGTCTGTGCAACAACTGTGACACAAATGGAGCCACACAGAGAAAATGAGCAGCAGACTCAGGAGCAGGGTGTGTGCTTCCTTGGGGGCTCCAGTCCATGCCTGAGGGTTCATATGGCACTGCGGGCTTCTTGGTTGCAAAGAGGTAGACCACAGGCCATCTTCAGGAGGTCTTTATGTGGAAGTGCAGAAAGCAGCCAGGATTACCACCCGTGGGACTCGGCCTTTTGTGGCCCTGGCCTGACAGAATTTGGTCCAAAGCAGGACAAGCTCACTCGGAGCAACATGTCGGTACCTGGGGCCTGTGCATGCCAGGCAAGGCCAAGCTGGCTCAAAGAGCACCCAGAGCATCCATTCTGGTGGATGAGCCAACCACATGGCCAGCTTCTGGGTGTGGGCACAGTGCCACATCTTCCATCACTTTCTGATGTATCCCACCAGCACTGAAGAGACAGCCTGGAGAGAGTGCAAGAGGAAGGCTGAGAAGGATGAGATAGTGAGTGCCGGCTTCTTTCTGACCCTCAGTACAACCCCAGGTGGTGACCATCAACCTTTAGGGGTGGGAGAGCAAGACTGATGGCTTCAAATGCTTCCCCAAGAAGATGGACACAGGCCACTCAGCTCAACCTCACAGCCAATGAGTTGACAAGCAAGCAGATGACAGTGACAGGCTTTTAGAAAGAGCATCAGAAGATGGCCAGTTTTTCTTCAGCCTCAGCCAGGCCTTGGAACTTGACTAGGCCATCCACTTCACCAGAGATGCCTTCAAGAACATCAGTAAGCTCCTTGCCAATCAGTCCAGGAAGGACCTGGACCCAGCCAGGGACCTGTTAGTGCTGTCTCAGGGACACCAGACCAACATCCTGGACATCATCCTCATACACAAGGAAGCTCTTACCAAAGTCACGGAGAACAGGCAACATGTGGCAGAAGGGAAGACAGAGGTGCAGAGGCTGATGGTGTCATTATCACAGGAACAGGATTTCTTTGGCCACTTTGGCTGAAATTCACCACTTCCATCCAATTCACTCGAGTGAGAGACTTGAAATCACAGATGGAGCATTTCTTGCAACAAGAGATACTATTTTTTCAAAAAGTCACCTAAAATTTGATAGTGTTGAATGACTAGCTATTCGATTGTGGACTTTTTCCAGTTCACGGGTACTTTCTACAGCAGAATGATAACAGTATCAAAGAGCTAGTGCCAGCTATCGGTGGTAGTACAAGGATGACTTTGTGCTCAACTGAAACCCAGCTGAATATAGAATTGTGTAGGAAAGGGTTAATATGGTGATAGAATAGAAAGAGTGGCAAATGAACTAAATCATACTATGAATGCCTACACTACCATTATAACTTTTTGAAGAATGATAATACCACTTACTTTATTGCCTTTTGAAGTAGGGATATTTTAGTGGATATGCTATAGACCTGAAACCCTATAAAGAATCCCAAAGAAGTTGGCTGGATAAAGCCTGCTATGGATGTCTTTATACTCAAAGACTGATGAGGCAATTCGAATATGTGTCCCCACCAAATCTCATGTTGAGTTATGCTTCCTAATGTTGGAGGTGGATCCTCGTATAAGGTGATTGAATCATGAAGGCGAATTTCTCATGAGTGGTTCAGCACCATCCCCTTGGTACTGTCCTCACAATTATGAGTGAATTCTCGTGAGATCTGGCCACTGAAAACTCTATATCACTCCCTACTCTCCGTGATTTCCTCTTGCCATGTGAGACAATTCACTCTTTCATTACCTTGCACAATGATTGAAAGATTTCTGAGGCCCCCCAGAAGCAGAAGCACTAAGCTGCCTGTCCACTCTGCAGAACCATGAGCCAATTAAACCTCTTTTTCAAAATAAATCTTACCAAAAATGGCAAATGAGGACTGCAGCATTGCTATAAAGATACCTGAAAATGTGGAAGCAACTTCGGAACTCGGTAATGGGTAGAGGTTGGAAGAGTTTGGAGGGCTCCAAAGAAGACAGATAGATGAGAGCATTTTTGGACCATCTTAGAGACTGGTTAAATGGCTGTGACAAGAATGCTGACAAAAACATGGACAGTGAAGGCCAGGCTGAGAGGGCCTCAGATAAAAATAAGAAGCTTTCTGGAAAATGTCTCCCTTTTGGATATGGAAAGCTTACAAAATGCCTGTACCATCATTGTACCTTAGACGCAGTGAACTTGCTTTTTATTTCAGAGACTCGTAGGCAAAAGAGAATGTAGCCTTGACCCAGATGAGACTTTGGACTTTGTAACTATGAGTTAATGCTGAAATGAGTTAAGACTTTGTGAGACTGCTGGCAGGGCATGACTGTATTTTGCAGTGTGAGAAGGACATGAGATTTGTGGGGTCAGGGACAGAATAATACGGTTTTTCTCTATGCCCCTTCCAAAACTCATGTGAAAGTACACTCCCTAATGTTAGAGTCGGGGCCTAGGTGGAAAAAGCTTTAATCATAAAGGGGTGGGAGTGGATCCTTCACAAATGGCAAAGCAGCAAGCCGTTAATGCCATCCTCCTGATAGTGAGTGAGTTCTCATGAGATCTAGTAGTTTAAAAGGCTGTGGAACCTCTTTCCTCTCTCTGTCTTGTTCCAACTTTTGCCATATGAAACTTGTCATTGCCCCTTGGATTTCCGGTGTGGTTAGGAGGGGCCTGATCAGTGTGGGCCTGGTCAGTGGACCTAGGTCAGTGAGGACTATTTAGTGGGATCGTGGTCAGCAGAGGTCTGCTTAGAGAGGGTCTCATTAGTGGGGTCTAGTAGTGGGGGTTTTGGTGAGTGGGGACCTATTGGCTTCCAGTTGTTTGGTGTCTGGTCAGTGCAAACCTGGGCTGTGGGGCTTGATCAGTGGAGACCTGGTCAGCTGGGGCTCAGTGCTGGTCTGGTCAGCATGGGCTGGGGCACTGGTGACCAGGTCAAGGGGTGCTATTCAGTGGAGGACTGGGCACATGGGACCTAGTCAGCAGACCCTGGTGGGTGTGTCCTCATCAGTGAGGCCCTTGTCAGTGGGACCTAATCCGTAGCGTCCTGGTCAGAGAGGACTTGGTCAGTGGTGACTTTTGTAGCACTGGTCTACAGGGTGACCTGGTCAGCAGGGATCTCAGCATTTGGTGCTGGTTCAGTGGGGTCTACTCACTAGGGTCCCAGTCAGGGGCATCTGGTGACCTTAGGCCTGGTTATTAGGGGCCTGATCAGTGACAACCTGTTCCCTGGAGGCCTGGTCAGTGGGGCCTCATCTTTGGGGCCAGGGAATGAGGTCATGATCAGTGGAACCTGATCAGTGAGGCCTTATCAATAATCACCTAGTCAGTGAGGACTTGTCAGTAAGGACTTGGTCCGTGAGGCCTTGTCAGTGAGGCCTTGTCAGTAAGGTCCTGGTCAGTGGAGTCCTTGTCATTGTGTGCCTGGCAGTGGGGGCCTTGTTAGTGGGGCCTGGTCATGAGGGTCTAATCAGTGAGGGTGCTGTCAGGGAGGACCTGATGTGCGTGGTCTGGTCAGCAGGGACCTGGTCAATGTGGGCTGCTGAGCACTGCTTGGATAAGCCAGGTGCAATGTGCATTATTGAAGGCCCTGTGGACAGCTGGGATAGCCCAGTGATGCCCAAGGGCCTAGTCAAAAGTGGACAAAGCACGTGTTTGGATGGACTTGGGAGATCCTGCTCAGAGATTCTGACAGGACAAAGGTAAAGGAAAGACCAGAGTGGCTGGAGAGATGGTCACAGTCTATGGGCTGCACAGGATGGAGGGGGCCAGGGAACAGGCAGGGTGGGCAGTTGGGGTTCAGAGAGAGGCAGGTGCATGCTGGGAGGTCAGACCCTGTGAGGGCTTTGGGGGCGTCAGGTTGGGTAGGCTCCAGGCACTCTCACTCACATAGGATTCCAGAACACTGCTACAAGGCTCTGAGTGTTTGTCCCTCACATAGGATTCCAGAACACTGCTGCCATTGTCTGAATGTTTGTCCCCCACATAGGATTCCAGAACACTGCTGCGAGAGTCTGAATGTATGTCCCTCACATATGATTCTAGAACATTGATGCTAGGGTCTGTATGTTTGCCCTTAACATATGATTTCAAAACACTGCTCCTGGATTCTGAATGTTTGTCCTTCACATAGGAATACAGAATACTGCTGCTGGAGTCTGAATGTGTGTCACTCACATAGAATTCCAGAACACTGCTGCGAGGATCTGAATGTTTGACCCTCACATGGGATTCCAGAACACTGCTGCTAGGGTCTAAATGTCTGTCCCTCACATAGGTTTCCAGCACAATGTTATGAGGTTCTGAATGTTTGTCCCTAACATAGGATTCCAGAGCACTCCTGCTGTGCTCTGAATGCTTCTCCCTCACATAGGATTCCAGAACACTGCTACGAGGGTCTGAATGCTTATCCCTCATATAGGATTCCAGAACACTCCTGCTGTGGTCTGAATGTTTGTTCCTCACATAAGATTCCAGAACACTCCTGCCATGGTCTGAATATTTGTCCCTCACATAGGATTCCAGAACATTCATGCTGGGGTCTCAATGTTTCCCTTAACATAGGATTTCAGAACACTGCTCTTGGGGTCTGAATGTTTGTCCCTCACACAGAATTCTGGAACACTGCTACAAGGGTCTGAATGTTTGTCCTTCACATACCATTCTAGAACACTGCTGCCGTGGTCTGAATATGTCCCTCACATAGGATTCCAGAACACTGCTACTAGGTTCTGAATGTTTTTCCCACACCTAGGATTCCAGAACACTTCTGCTGGTGTCTGAATGGTTGTCCCTCACATATGATTCCAGGACACTGCTACGAGAGTCTTAATGTTTGTCCTTCACATAGGATTCCAGAACACTGCTTCCGTGGTCTGAATGTTTGCCCCTCACATGGGATTCCAGAACACTGCTGCGAGGGTCTAAATGTCTCTCCCTCATATAAGATTCCAGGACACTGCTACGAGGTTCTGAATGTTTGTCCCTCACATAGGATTCCAGAGCACTCCTGCTGTGTTCTGAATATTTGTCCCTCACATAGGATTCCAGAACACTGCTAAGAGGGTCTGAATGTTTGTCCCTCACATAGGACTCCAGAACACTGCCAAGAGGGTCTGAATGTTTGTCCCTCACATAGTATTCCAGAACACTCCTGCTTTGGTCTAAATGTTTGTTCCTCACATAGGATTCGAGAACACTCCTGCTGTGGTCTGAATGTTTGTCCCTTACCTAGGATTCGAGAACATTCACACTGGGATGTAAATGCTTGCCCTGAACATAGGATTTCAGAACACTGCTCCTGGGGTCTGAAAGTTTGTCCCTCACATAGGATTCCAGAACTCTCCTGCTGTGGTCTGAAAGTTTGTACCACACATAGGATTCCAGAACACTGCTGCTGTGGTCGGAATGTTTGTCACATAGATTTCCAGAACACTGCGGCTGGGTTCTGAATGTTTGTCCCTCACATAGGATTACAGAACACTGCTACGAGGGTCTGATTGTTGGTCCCTCACATAGGATTCCTGAACACTGCTGCTGGGCTCTGAATGTTTGTCCCTCACATTGGATTGCAGAACACTACTGCTATGGCCTGAAAGTTTGTCCATCACATAGGATTCCAGAAAGCTCCTGCTGTGGTCTGAATGTTTCTCTGTCACATAGGATTCCAGAACACCGCGGCTGGGGTCTGAATGTCCCTGACATAGGATTCCAGAACATTGCTATGAGGGTCTGAATGGTTGCCTTTCACATAGCATTCCAGAACACTGCTACGAGGGTCTGAATGTTGGTCCCTCACACAGGATTCCAGAACCCTCCTGCTGGGGTCTGAAAGTTTGTCCCTCCCAAAGGATTCCAGAACACTGCTATGAGGGTCTGAATATTTGTCCCTCACATAGGATTCCAGAACACTCCTGCTGTGGTCTGAATGGTTGTCCCTCACATAGGATTCCAGAACACTTCTGCTGTGGTACGAATGTTTGTGTCTCACGTAGGATTCAAGAACACTGCTACGAGGGTCTCAATGTTTGTCCCTCACACAAGATTCCAGAACACTGCTTCTGGGGTCTGAATGCTTGTCCCTCACATATGATTACAGAACACTATTGCTGGGGTGTGAATGTTTGTCCCTCACATAGGATTCCAGACCACTGCTACTGGGGTCTCAATATCTGTCCCTCAAAAAGGATTCCAGAACACTGCTACGAGGGTCTGAATTTTTGTCCCTCACTTAAGACTGCAGAACACTGCTTCGAGGGTCTAAATGTCTGTCCTTCACATAGGACTCCAGAATACTGCTACGAGGGTCTGAAAGTTTGCCCCTCACATAGGATTCCAGAAGACTGCTGCTGGGGTCTGAATGTCTGTCCCTCACATCGGATTCCAGAACACTGCTGCTGGGGTTTGAATGTCTGTCCCTCACATAGAATTCCAGAAGACTGCTGGGAGGGTCTGAATGTTTGTCCCTCACATAGGATTCCAGAACACTGCTACAAGGTTCTGAATGTTTGTCCCTCACATAGGATTCCCGAGCACTCCTGCTGTGGTCTGAAAGTTTTTCCCTCACATAGGATTCCAGAACACTGCTACGAGGGTCTGAATGTTTGTCCTTCACATAGGATTCCAGAACACTCCTTCTGGGGTCTGAATGTTTGTCCCTCACATAGGATTGCAGAATACTCCTGCTATGGTCTTAATGCTTGTCCCTCACATAGGATTCCAGAACATTCATGTTGGGGTCTGAGTTTTAGCCCTTATCATAGGATTTCAGAACAGTGCTCTTGGGGTTTGAATGTTTGTCCTTCACATAGGATTTAAGAACACTCCTGCTGTGGTCTGAAAGTTTGTCCTTCACATAGGATTCCAGAACACTCCTGCTGTGGTTTGAATGTTTGTCCCTCACATAGGATTCCTGAGCACTGCTGCCGTGGTCTGAATGTTTTCCCCTCACATAGGATTCTAGAACACTGTTGCTGGGGTGTGAATGTTTGCCCCTAAAATAGGATTCCAGACCACTGCTGCTGGTTTCTCAATGTCTGTCCCTCAAAAAGGATTCCAGAATACTGCTACGAGGGTCTGAATGTTTGTCTCTCACTTAAGACTCCAGAACACTGTTTCGAGGGTCTAAATGTCTGTCCTTCACATAGGATTCCAGAACACTGTTAGGAGGGTCTCAATGTTTTCCCTTCACATAGCATTCCAGAACACTGCTATGAGGGTCTGAATGTTTGCCCCTCACATAGGATTCCAGAACACTGCTGCTGGGGTCTGAACGTCTGTCCCTCACATAGGATTCTAGAACACTGCTGTTGGGGTTTGAATGTCTGTCCCTCACATAGAATTCCAGAACACTGCTGCGAGTGTCTGAATGTTTGTCCCGCAGATGGGATTCTAGAACACTGCTGCGAGGGTCTAAATGTCTGTCCCTGACATAACATTTCAGCACACTGCTATGAGGTTTTGAAATGTTTGTCCCTCACATAGGATTACAGAGCACTCCTGCTGTGGTCTGAATGTTTGTCCCTCACATAGGATTCCAGAACACTGCTGCTGGGCTCTGAATGTTTGTCCCTCACATAGGATTCCAGAACACTGCTACGAGGTTCTGAATTTTTGTCCCTCATATAGGATTCCAGAACACTGTTACAAGGGTTTGAAAGTTTGTCCCTCACATAGGATTCCACAACACTACTGCTGGGGTCTGAATGTTTGTCCCTCACATAGGATTCTAGAACACTCCAGCTGGCTTCTGAGTGTTTGTCCCTCACATAGGATTCCTGAAGACTGCTGCTGTCGCTATATTCATTGCGAGTGTCTGAATGTTTGACCTTCACCAAACACCAAATATCCTGGCCCTTTAGTCTTGAACTTTCCAGCCTCCAGATCTGTGAGCAATAATCTCTGTTGTTTATGAATTACTCAGTCTAAAGTATTTTGTTATAGTAGCCTAAAGAGACTAAGAGAGCATCACCTGCCCTGTCACCTCATCACCGCATTACTGAAGCTATACTAACAACAGTCACTTTTAGTGGGTGCTTCATGCATGAGAATAAAGGGAAAAAATTGCAAGGCATACTAAAATCCAAAAAAAGAAAAAACTACAATTTGTGTCAACAGAGCAAGCTTCAGAAGCAGACAAAGATATGATTTTGGAATTTTTTTTAAACCTCTGGAGACTATGCTAAGGACCTAACGAATGAAGTAGACAGCATTCAAGTGTAGATGGGTAATGTAATCAGAAAGACAGACATCGTAAGAACCTTCAACATAATGTAGTGATAAAAAATGTGGTAAATAACTGAAGAATACCTCTGATGGCTTATTAGTAGACTGGACTCAGCCGAGTAAAGAATCTCTGAGCTTGAGGATTTATCATCAGAAATTTCGAAAACTAAAGAAAAGACACACTGAAAAGAACAGAAGATGATATCCAAGACTGTGGGACAACTACAAAAGGTGAAACAGAGTAATGAGAATACCAGGAGGAGAAGAAATAGAAGAAAGTTCTGCAACAACCATGTCTGAGAACTTCCAGTGTTAATGTCAGACACCAAACCAAAGATCCAGGAAGCTCTGAGAACACCAGGCAGAATAAATGCCAACAACCTACACTTGGACATATAATTTTCAAACTATATGAAATAAAAGATAAAGGAAAACTCTGAAAGAAACCAGAAGTGGGGCAGAAAACACCTTACCTACAGAGACACAAAGATAAGAACTGCATTCAACATTGCAGAAACTGTGAAAGCAAGACAGTGAAATGAAAAATTCAAAATGTTGACAGAAAAAAACCCACCAACCTAAGTTTCTGTACCCACTGAAACCACCCTTCAAAAGTGAAGGAGAATTAAGGCCTTCCTCAGAAAAATAAAAATTCAAGAAACTTGTTGCCAGGAGACCTGTCTTGCAAGAAATGTTAAATGAAATTCTTTAGAGGGAAACAAAAGATATATAACTGAAACCTGGATCAACATTTTTTTAAAAAGAGCATTAAAGAAAGAATTGTGGTACAATAAAAACCTATGTATTTATTCTTAATTGATCTGACCAAGAAGTTCATAGACAATAACAAATACACACAGATAGATTATGTATGCTTATACACAAGTGAAATGAGTAACACTAATACAAGGAATGGAATGGAAGGATGGGAGGGAGGAATTGTGGTACAATAAAAACATGTATTTATTCATAATTGATTTGACCAATAAGTTTGTAGATAATAATAAATACACACAAATAGATTATGTATGCTTATACACAAGTGAAATAAGGAACAATAATACAAGGAATGGAATGGAAGGATGGGAGGGAGGAATCAGGTGTTTTCTTTGTTAAGCAGGTAGTCACCCGTTAAGTGGGATAGTGTTATTTGAAAGTGGACTTGAATTGGTTGTAAATGTTACTGAGGAATTAGGTGTTTTGTTTGTTGAGCAGGTAGTCTTATTTGTGGGATAGTGGGATAGTGTTATTTGAAAGTGGACTTGAATTTGTTGTAAATGTATATTGCAAATTCTGTGGCAACTGGTTAAAAAAAAAGTTTTAAAAAGAGAAGTACGTGCTAAGAAAGACAGGAGTCATCTAAAATCATCAATGAAAACTGCAAAAGGCAGAAAAAGAGTGGTAGAAAAAAGAATGAAGACTGAGGAGAATGAATAGAAAACAGTAACAAATATAGTAGATATTAATCCAATGATATCAATAATCATTTTGAATGTTAATGGTATGAATGTACCAATTCAAAGATAGAGATTGTCAGAGTCTATCAAAAGACAGACACATCTTGTTTCACTGCACTTTGCTTTATTGTGTTTTGTGACCATGTGTTTTACATATTGAAGGTTTGTGGCCACCCTGCAATAAGCAGGTCTCACTGGCACAATTGTTCCTACAGCACGTGCTCACTTCATGTCTCTGTGTCACATTTCGGTTATTCTCACAGTATTTTAAGCTTTTTATTATTGAATCTGTTGTGGTGATCTGTAAGGAGTGATCCTTAATGCTACTGTTGTCATTGTTTTGGGAACCACAAATCACACCAGGATAAGACAGCAAACAATTGACAAATGCGTTTGTTCTGACTGCCCCACCAATGGGACATTTCTCTTTCTCTCACTTTTTCTCAGGCTTCTTTTTATTAATATTAAAATGTGGCCAATTAATAACCCTACAATAGCCTCTATATGTTCAAGCGAAAGAAGAGTTGCATGTCTGTCACTTTAAACCAAAAGGAAGAAATAATTAAGCTTAGTGAGGAAGGCATGCTGTAAGCAAGACAGGTCAGTAGCTAGAACTCATGCAACAAACACTTAGCCAAGTTGTGAATGCAAAGGAAGTGTTCTGGAAAGAAATTTAAAGTACTACTCCAGTGAACACATGAATGATAAAAAGCTAAACAATCTTGCTGCTGTTATGAAGAAAGTTTAATTGGTCTAGATAGAAGATAAAAAAAAAAAAACAGAAAACATTCCATTAAGCCCAAGCCTAACTCTCTTTTTACTTATTTTTCTTTGTTTTTGAGACAGAGTTTCATTCTTCTTGCCCAAGCTGTAGTGCAATGGTGTGATCTTGGCTCATCACAACCTCTGCCTCCCAATTTCAAGCCATTCTCCTGCCTCAGCATCCCGAGTAGCTGGGATTACAGTCATGCACCACCACGCCTGGCTAATTTTTTGTATTTTTAGTAGAGACAGGGTTTCTCCACGTTGGTCAGGCTGGTGTTGAACTCCCGACCTCAGGTGATCTGCCTGCCTCGGCCTCCCAAAGTGCTAGGATTACAGGTGTGACAGCCACCGCACCCGGCCTCTCTTCAATTCTATGAAGACTTAGGTGAGGCAGCTGCAGAAGAAAAGTCTGAAGCTAGAAGAGCTTGTTTCTTGAGGTTTAAGGAAAAAAGTCATCTCCATAACATAAAAGCACAAGATAAAGCAGCAAGTACTGATGGAAAAGCTGCAGAAAGCTATCTAGAAGGTAACTGATTAAGATGGCTACACTAAACAGATTTGCAATGGAGACAAAACAGCCCTCTACTAGAAGGAGATGCCATCCAGGATGTTCCCAGCTAGAGTGGAGTTGATGCCTGGATTTAAGGCTTCAAAGGACACGCTGACTCTTTTGTTAAGGCCTAATGCAGTTGGTGATGTTAACTTGAAACCAATGATGATTTACTATTCTGAAAATCCAAGGGCCCTGAAGAATTATGATAAAACACAGCTCTGCCTATACTCTACAAATGGGAACAAAGCCTGGATGACAGACTATCGGTTTACAAATATGGTTTACTGAATATCTTAAGCCCACTGTTGACACCTACTGCTCAAGAAATAAGATTCCTTTCAAAGTATTACCACTCACTGACAATGCCCCTGGACTCAAGGGCTTTTACAGAGATGTATAAAGAGCTGAACATTGTTTTCATGCCTACTAACCCAACATTCATTCTGGTGCCCTTGGATCAAAGAATAATTTCAACTTTCAAGTCTTATCACTTAAAAAATATATTTCATAAAGCTATAACTTCTCTAGAAAGTGATTCCTTTGATGGATATGGGCAAAATAATTGAAAACCTACTGGAAAGGATTCACCATTCTAGATGCCATTGAGAACATTCATGATTTAAAAAAGAAGATCAAAATAGCAACATTAGGAGAAGTTGGGGCCGGGCATGGTGGCTCACACTTGTAATCCCAGCACGTTGGGAGGCCAAGGCAAGTGGATCACGAGGTCAGGAATTTGAGACCAGCCTGGCCAACATAGTGAAATCCTGTCTGTACTAAAAACACACAAAAAAATTAGCTGGGTCTGGTCGGGGGTGACTGTAATCCCAAACACTTGGGAGGCTGAGGCAGGAGAATTGCTTGAACCCGGGAGGTGGAGGTTGCAGTGAGCTGAGATCGCATCACTGCACTCCAGCCCAGGCAAGATTTCATCTCAAAAAAAAAAAAAAAAAAGAGAGAGAGAGAAGTTGGGAAGATTATTCCAACCCTCACAGATGACACAGGGGTTCACGACTTCTGTGGAGGAAGTAACTGCAGATATGGTGGAAATAACAAGAGCACTAGAATCAGAGACAGAGCCTGAAGATCTGGCGAGACTGCAGCAGTCTCCAGAGAAAACGTGAGTGGATGAGTTGCTTCCACGGATGAGCAAAGAAAGTGGTTTCTTGAGATGAAATCTACTCGTGGTGAAGACAGTGTAAACAATGTTGAGATGACAACAGATTTAGAATAAACTTAGTTGGTACAGCAGAAGGAGGGCTTGACAGAATTGAACCCAACGGTTTACAATAATACATAAACTTAGTTGGTACAGCAGTACGAAGGTTTGACAGCATTGAATCCAATTTTGAAAGTTCTACTGTGGGTAAAAAGCTATCAAACAACATCGTATGCTACAGATAATTCTTTTGTGAAAGGGAGAGTCAATTGACACAGCAAACTTCAATGGTGTCTTATTTTAAGAAATAGCCACAGCCACCCCAACGCTCAGCAACCACCACCTTACATTAAGGCAAGACCCTCCATCAGCAAGAAGACTGAAACTTGGCCAGGTGCAGTGGCTCACAACTGTCATCCCAACTCCTTGGGAGGCCAAGGTGGGTGGATTGCTTGAGCCCAGAACATCAAAGCAACATGGCAAAACCCCATCTCTACAAAAAAAAAATACAAAAATTAGCTGGACATGGTTGCATGCACCTGTAGTCCCAGCTAGTCAGGAGTCTGAGGTGGGGGTTTGATTGAGCATGAGGTTGAGGCTGCAATTACTCCAGCCTGAGCCACAGAGTAAAACCCTGTCACACACACAAAAAAAGATTGCAGCTTTCTGAAGGCTCAGATGACTGTTAGCACATGTTAACAATAAAGTATTTGTAAATTAAAGTGTGCACACTTTGTAGACATATGCTATTGCACACTTTATACAGCACAATATAAACATACTTTTACATGCACTGGGAAACCAAAAGAGATTGTATAACTCACTTTATTGTAGTGGTCTGGAACCGAACCCAGATATATCTCTGATGCATGGCCGTCCTGTATTGTACACTTAAAAAAAAAACTTAAGAGGATATATTTTAGGTGAAATGGTCATCTCATTTTTTTTTTGAGATAGATTCTCACTCTGTTGCCCAGGCTGGAGTGCAGTGGCACGATCTAGGCTCACTGCAAGCTCTGCCTCCCGAGTTCACACCATTATCCTGCCTCTGTCTCCCGAGTAGCTGGGACTACAGGTGCCCGCCATCATGCCCGGCTAATTTTCTGTATTTTTAGTAGAAACGGGGTTTCACTGTGTTAGCCAGGATGGTCTTGATCTCCTGACCTCATGATCCACCTGCCTTGGCCTCCCAAAGTGCTGGGATTACAGGCGTGAGCCACCACTCCCGGTCTCATTTTTTAAAAAGGGTGAGAATGAGAAATATATGGGGAGTGATGGTCAAGTTTACGGCATTATTTGTTGTGATGAGACCTGGGGCGAATACTTATCTCTATACTCATTAAGATGTATATATTCGGTGTCACACACCTGTAATCCCAGCACTTTGGGAGGCCGAGGCAGGTGGATCATCTGAGGTCAGGAGCTCGAGATCAGCCTGGCCAACATGATGAAATCCTGTCTCTACTAAAAAAATACAATAATTAGCCGGGCATGGGGGCGCACGCCTGTGATCCCAGCTACTCAGGAGGCTGAGGCAGGAGAATTGTTTGAACCCGGGAGGCGGAGGTTGCAGCTAGCTGAGATCGTGTCACTGCACTCCAGCCTGGGCAACAAAAGTAAAACCTCCGTAACACACACACACACACACACACACACACACACACACACACACACACACGGTATATATTAAATATGTGTAATTTTTGTATGTCAACCACACCTTAGTTTTATTTTGTTTTATTTTTTTTTTTTGAGACAGAGTCTCGCTCTGTCACCCAGGCTGGAGTCCAGTGGCGCAATCTCGGCTCACTGCAAGCTCCACCTCCCAGGTGCACACCATTCTCCTGCCTCAACCTCCGGAGTAGCTGGAACTACAGGCACCCACCACCACGCCCAACTAATTTTTTGTATTTTTAGTAGAGATGGCGTTTCACCGTGTTAGCCGGGATGGTATCGATCTCCTGACGTGATCTGCCTGCCTCAGCTTCCCAAAGTGCTGCGATTATAGTTGTGAGCCACCGCGCCCAGACAATTTTTATTTTTTTGAGACAGAGTCTCACTCTGTCACCCAGACTGGAGTGCAGTGGCACTATCTTGGCTCACTGCAACCTCTGCCTCCCATGTTCAAGCAATTCTCCTGCCTCAGTCTCCCGAGTAGCTGGGAATACAGATGCATGCTATCATGCCTGGCTAATTTTTTGATTTTTAATAGAGATGAGGTTTCACCATGTTGGCCAGGCTGGTCTCAAACTCCTGACCTCATGTGATCTGCCCACCTCAGCCTCCCAAAGTGCTGGGATTACAGATGTAAGCCACTGCACCCGGCAATTTTTAAATATATATAATTAAAAATTAATAAAAAACAGGTATTTGCAAGTTTCCGTTTTGTTATATGCTTATTATTCTTTATCTTTATGTCAGGTTCCTGTGTCAATACACTTAGGAGATCATAGTTTCTAAATTGAAATACAAATAAATATGTCTGAAATTTTTCTTTTTTCTTTTTTTTTGAGACGGACTCTCATTCTGTCACCCAGGCTGGAGTGCAGTGGTGCAATCTCAGCTCACTGCAACCTCCGCCTCCCAGATTCAGGTGATTCTCCTGCCTCAGCCTCCAGAGTAGCTGGGATTACAGGCACCCACCACAACACCCAGCTAACTTTTATATATTTTTTTCTATTTTTAGTAAAGACAGGGTTTCACCATGTTGGCCAGGCTGGTCTCCAACTCCTGACCTCAGATGATCCTCCCGCCTCGGCCTCCTCAAGTGCTGGGATTACAGGTGTGAGACACTGTGCCTGGCCTGGAATTTTTTTCTAAAATTTACATTTCTGAGTTAAGAATGCTTAAAATATTATAAAAACAGAAGCACAATTCATTATGGGTTTCATTAATTACCTTTATTAAAAACAACACAATTATATTGCAATAGGACAAAAAATGTTTAAGCAAATGAAAACCATGACATACCCAAACTCAGGAGGAGGCAACAAAGGCAGTGCTAAAGGGAAGCTTACAGCTGCAGATGCTTAAATTAAAAATAAGAAAGATCTCAAACCCATGCTAAAGGGAAGCTTATAGCTGCAGGTGCTTAAATTAAAAAGAAGAAAGATCTCAAATCAATAACCTAACATTACACCTGAAGGGGGGAAAAAAAAAAACTAATGACAAACCAAGCAAAAGGAAGAAAATAACAGATTAGAGCAGAGATAAGCAGAATAAGACCAGAAAAAAAGGAAAAAAAACACCGAGTTTGTTTTTTTTAAAGATCAATAAAAATTTTAAAACTCACAGCTATATTAAGAAAAAAAGAGAAATCTCAAATGCTAAAATCTTAAATAAAAGAGGTGACAGTACAACAGATGTCACAAAAATGAAAAAGATTACAAGAGACTAATGTGAGCAACCATATGCCACAAAACTGGGCAACCTAGAATAAATTTATAAATTCCTAGAAACACAAACCGCCATACTGCATCAGGGAGAAATAAAAAATCCAAAGAGACCTGTAACTAGTAAGAAGATTCAACCAGTAATCAAAAACCCCCCAAAAAAGAAAATTCCAGGTCCAGATAACTTCACTGGAAAAATTTACCAAACATTTCAAGAAGAATTAATGCCAATCCTCTGCAAAATATTCCAAAAATGTTCAAAAACCAGAAGGGGACATTCCAATCCATTCTATCAGGTCAACGTTTATCTGGTTCCAGAGCCAGATGAACACTTTTTGTAATAAAAACACTCAAAGAATTAGTAATATATGGAAACTCCTCAATAAATAAAGATTATACATGAAAGCCTCACAGCTAACATCATACTCAATGGTGAAAAACTAAAATCTTTTCCTCTAGGATCAGGAATAAGATAGCAACATTTCTTCCTGCCACTTCTATTCATCACAGTACTGGAATTTCTACTCAGAATAATTAGGCAAGAGAAAGTAATAAAAAGGATGCAAATTGGAAAGGAAAAAGTACAAAATTTTGTTCACAGACAACAGGATGTAATGTGTAAAAATCCTGAAATTCCACAAAATACTGGTAGAATAATGAAATTCAACAAAGTTTCAGGATACAGTAACACACACAAGTCAGTTGCATTTCTATAAACTAACAATGAACAATCTGCAAATAAAATTTTAAAAAGAGGCCAGGTGCAGTGGCTCACACTTGTAATCCCAGCACTTTGGGAGGCCAAGGTGGGTGGACCACCTGAGGTCAGGAGTTCGTGACCAGCTGGGCCAACCTCATCTCTAATATAAATAGTAAAACTCTATCTCTATTAAAAATACAAAAATTAGCTGGGCGTAGTGGCAGACACCTGTAGTCACAGCTACTTGGGAGGCTGAGGCAGGAGAATTGCTTGAACTTGGAAGGTGGAGGTTGCAGTCAGCTGAGATTGTGCCACTGCACTCCAGCTTAGGAAACAGAGTGAGATGCGGTCTCAAAAAAAAAGAAAGAAAGGAAAGAAAGAGAGAGGAAGAAAAGAAAAGAAAAGAGAAAACAAAAGAAAAGAAATTTTTAAAAAGAATGATATTTGGCCAGGTGCGGTGGTTCATGCCTGCAATCCCAGCAGTTTGGGAGGCCAAAGTGGGCAGATCACCTGAGGTCACAAGTTCAAGACTAGCCTGGTCAACATGGAGAAACCCTGTCTCTACTAAAGATATCAAAAAATTAGCCTGGCATGGTGGCGCGCACCTGTGATCCCAGGTACTTGAGAGGCTGAGGTTGGAGAATCGCTTGAATAGGGAAGGTGCAGGTTGCAGTGACCTGAGATAGTGCCACTGTACTCCAGCCTGGGAGACAGAGCAAGACTCCATCTCAAAAAAAAAAAAAAAAAGAATTACATTTACAACAACATTATGAAAATTAGAAATAAGCTTAACCAAGAGGGCAAAAGATTTGAACACAGAAAACTACAAAACACTGTTAAAAGAAATTAAACACAAATAAATGAAAAGAAAAGCTGGGTTTACAGATTAAAAGATTTCATCTTGGAATGATGTCAACGCTACTCGAAGTGACCTAGATTCAATACAATCCTTATAAAGATTCCAATGACATTTTTGATAAACAGAAAATCCTATCCTAAAATTCATATGGAATCTATGGGGCCCATGAATAGGCAAATCAGTCTTGAAACAAAACAAAATTAAAGGTCTCAAAACAATTACAAAACTACAATAAGCCAAAAAAAAAATATGTGGTCATGGCAAAAAGACACTCTTGACCCACTTATGGACCAACACAACGGAGACCTCAGAAACCAACCCTGGCATATATGGTCCAGTGATCTTCCACAAGGATGCCAAGACCACTCAATGGCGAAGGACACTTTCTTCAACAAATGGTGTTGGGAAAATTGTATATCTACATGCAAAACAATGAAGTTGGACTCTTACCTTACACCATGTTAAAATTAATTCAAAGTGAATTATAAACCTAAATGTAAAACTAGAACTATCAAACTCCTAGGGAAAACAAATTTGGAAAATGCCTTATGACGTTGAATTTGTCAATAATTTTTAGGATATGACATTAAAATCTCAGGCAGTAAAAGCAAAAATATATCAAACCTAAAAACTTCTGTTCCTCAAAGGTCACAACCAACAGGGTAAAAGGCAAACTGTAGAATAAAAGAAAATACCAGTTGAGTGTCCCTTATTTGAAATGCTTGGGATGTATTTCAGATTTTGTAATATTTGCATTATTCTTACTGGTTGAACATCTCGAATTCAAACACCCGAGTCTGAGATGCTCCAATAAGCATTTCCTTTGAGTGTCATGTTGGCACTCAAAAAGTTTCAGACTTTGGAGCATTTGGGATTTCAGATTTTTGGATCAGAGACATTCAACCTATAGTAGCTCATCATGTATCTCATAAGAAGTGAACATTCAGAATACGTAAAGAACTCCTACAGAGAGACTACCAGAAGCAGAGAGGAGCAAACACATTTTCACACTAGGGCACCTCCTATCTCTCCTGGATTCTAATTAGGGCAGAGTAAGTGCTAGTTCTCTGCCAACCCAGGATTAGGCCCTGCAACTGCAGTGAAAATAATCACAGAAGAAAACTAAGAAATAAAAAATGGAGAAAGTGAGACATCAAACTAGAATTACTAGAAACCCCCAGGAAGAAGGAAAAAAAAAAACCCAAGAAAACAGAAAAACAATCAAACGAGTTAATTAAACCTTGTGGTGCGACCCGAAGATCAGGGTTTCCTAAAGGAGTGGAAATTTATTGACTTGAAGAGTATTTATTGATTACTGATTTGAAGAGGAAGAAAAACCATGAATGGTCTAAAGCAAAAGCCTAGTGTCTGAAGAAGTCAGTAGGGTGAAAACAAGAGCTGGCCAGAATGTCCACAGATGGTGACAAGTTTGCAAAGCCTTTACTAGACTACTTGTGAGGTTAACTAGAGGCCAAGGAGCCAATACTGCCCCTGTCCTTACAGAGAGACCCTACACAGTATTCCCAGATATACATGGAAGGACAACATCTTATCAGCTCCTCTCTGTGCAGATGTGGTTATCATTCCAAATAATGAGCTCCAGCCCCAAGACCGTTCCATCCTCAATTGCTTTGAGTGGGCAATGTAGGCTCTCCACACACGAGCTACATGTAGGTTCCTTGGGTACCCAGATGGGAGCCGTGAAACACAAACCCTCCATGGTCAGGTCCGTATCTGTTTCCTGCCTTTTTCCCAGCAATCCCCAGGCCTCAGCAGCAGTGGTCTACGTCTGCTGATTCTCATTCAGAATCTAAACTTAGAAACAATTAGAACCTAGACCCCAATTCTACCTGAAAGTAACAGAATAACATAATCTATACCCTGCAGCATGACTGTTTGCCCAACGTAATGAGGATGAACTGAGAGATAATGAATGATCATGACCCTGGCCCAAGTAACAAGAATGAACTGTGAAATAAATGAATGGTCATGACCAAAAAACTCCGCTACAACACAACAACAAAATAAATTGATTAAAAAATGGACAAAGAACATTTATCCAAAGATGCAAAGATGATATACAAATAGCCAACAGATACATGAGATATATGAGAAGATGTGTAACATCACTAGTCATTAGAGAAATGCAAATAGAAACCACAATGGGACATCACTTCAAACCCAACAGAAAGTAACAAGTGCAGGTGAAACTGAAACCCTTGAACACTGTTGGTGGAAATATGAACTGGCTCCTCAAAAAAAATAAAATAAAATGACCATATGATCCAGCCATCCAACTTCTACAGAGACAAAATAACTAGTAGCAGGACCTCAAACAGATATGTTCACACCTATGTGTTCACAGGAGCATTACACAGCCACAAGGTGGAAGAAACCAAAACGTCCATCCGGGAATAGATGGATAAACAAAAGGAGATATATATATAGATAGAGAAATATATATATATATATATATGAAGAAATATTATTCAGCCATAGAAAGGAAGAAAATCCTGACACATCTGACACATAACATGGAACCTACTTACAAAACAACAAATATTATATAACCCTAGGTATATAAGCCAAATTTTTAGAAACACAAAGTAGAATAGTACTTGCCAGGAGGTGGAAGGAAGGGGAAATAAATAGTTCTTGAATGGGTATAGACTTTTCCAGGATAAAAAAAAAAAATCTAGAAATCTGCTACACAACACTGCAAATATTCTTAACTCTACAAAACTCTATACTTACAACTGGTTATGATGGTAAATTTTAAGGTATGTGTTTGTTACCAAAATTCGAAATAATAAATTATTTATAAAAAATGATCCTTTTGACACAGGTTCTTACTCTGTTGCCCTGGCAGGAGTGCAATGGCATGATCACAGCTCATTGCAGCCTCAACCTCCCAGGCTCAAGCAATCCTCCCACCTCAGCCTCCCGAATAGTTGGGACTACAGGTGCACATCAAGATGTCAGTCTAAATTTTGGTTTGGTTTTTTTGTAGAGAGGGTTTTGCCATGTTGCCCAGGCTGGTCTCAAACTCCTGGGCTCAAGCAATCCACCTCCCTTGGACTCCCACAGAGCTGAGATTACGAGCATAAGCCAACATGCCCAGCCTATAAAAAATTATTTCAAAAAGCCAAAAGATTAATCAAACTGGAATATTTAGAAATATTTAACCCAAAAGAAGTTAGGAAAGAATATATAGAAGATCAAAAGACAGATGAAGGCCAGGCATGGTGGCTCATGCCTGTAATCTGAACAATTTGGGAGGCCAAGGTGGGTAGGTTGCTTGAGCTCAGGAGTTCAAGACCAGCCTGTGCAACATGGCAAAACCCTATCTCTACAAAAAATATAAAAATTAACCAGGTGTGGTGCCATGCACGTGTAGTCCCAGCTACTCAGGGGGCTCAAGCGAGGATTGGTTGGACCTGGGAGGCAGAGTTTGCAGTGAGCCAAGATTGCACCACTGCACTACAGTCTGGGTGACAGAGCAAGACCCTGTCTTAAAAATAATAAACAAACAAATAGAAAATAACTAGAAAAATGGCAGACCTAAATCCAACCTTAGCAATGATTAGTTACAATGTAACTGGACAAATACTCTACTTAAGACAGAGACTGCCAGACCTGAGAGGAAGGCAAGACCCAACAATATGGCATCCACAGAGACACAATTTAAACACAAAGACACAAACAAAGTATGAGAAAAAATATGCTATGCAGACACTAATCGTAAAAATATGCTATTCAGACACTAATCAGAAAAAGCTTCAACAGAGATGTTAACACTAGATGAAAGAGGCTTCAGAACAAAATATATCACCAGAAATAAACAGGGTAATTTAATAAAAATAAAAGAATCAGAGACGATGATGTTACAATTATAAATTGTGCCTCAAAGTGCACACAAAGTACACACACACACACACACAGAGCCTCAACGTATGTGAATCAAAAACAACAGAACAAAAGCAGGAAATTGACAATTCAAAATTATAGCTGGTGAATTAATACTGCTCTCTCAGTAACTGATGGAACAACCAGATAAAAATATAGGAAAAATACGGATCTAAATGACAAAATCCTGACCCAAATGGTACTTGGCAGTACCAAGATAGACTCTATGTCGATCGATTGAGAAAAGGTTCAAGCCTGAAATAGTATACAAAGTATGTTGTCTGAACACTTGAAATTAAATTAGAAACCAACAACAAATTGATATCCAGAAAAGCCTCAAATGTCTGAAAGCCAAGTAATAAACTTTGAAATACCCTGTGAGTCAAAAAAGTATTCACAAGGGGAACTGGAATGTATTTGGAACAAACTTGTTATAAAAATCTCATTTCTGGTAGACTAAAGGTGACAAATTCTTTCCTGCTCCTGTCTCTGTGAGAACCAATTCCCCTTAAACCTTGCCCAGACTACTGACTTGTTTGGCCAACAGAAGGTGACAAAGGTGGTATTTGGGGACTTCAGAAGCCAGGCTGAGAAAACAGAACACTTATCCAGGAGAAAGCCAGTCACCAGGCAGGAAATCCCACTCCCCTGAGACCTCATGATGGAAACCACATGGCCAGTCCATGACTAGCTACACGCATTGACATCCCCCACTGAGCCTCCAGCAACACCGACTCCCAACAACTAGTGAGCCTCCAGCAACATCCACTCCCAACCACTAGTGGGCCACCCTGCACACCACCCCACTGTGCTTTCACACAATCCAGCTTGGCTGCAAATGTGTGTGAGATGAGCTGGCCACCAAGACTCTCTAAGCCAAACAACAAGTAATAATGAGTTGTTTTAAGCTGCCAACTTTTGGGGATGGTTTCTTCAGAACAGATAACTGGAACAGAATATGGCAGCTGGAAATGAGCTGCTGTGGTAATCAGAAGCTACAATATGTGCCACGACTGTGAGGCTGACCTGTAACTGGGCCTCAAGGAGACCATTCATGCAACCTGGAAGGGCATCAAGACTCTTGGTCAGGGCCTGAAGGACGGTGAGAAAATGTCATTGGAAACTGGAGAAAAGGCCTGAGAGTTACGTGTTGAGGGACTGTGGGAAAACTACGACCACAACATGGAAACTGAAAGGGCACTGCATCATCTCAGGGATCTGCCTAAGGAGACATCTGGGAAGAACATGGAAAGTGCTACCAGCCTCCCCTAACTGTCATTGAATAAATATGACAGGAGAGGGACATGATCTAAAGAAGGAGGTTCAGTTTTCAAACAGAATTTAGAGAAAATATAAAGAAATAATTTCTTGTCTCAAAAGGCCAAAGTAAAAAAAAAAAAAAAAGAAAAGAAAAGAAAAGGAAAAAAAAATGAAAAAGAAGCCATTGAATACCCTATTGACCATAAGAAAAAGGCAGGGAAAGTTGGTCAACAGCAACCCAGACACTGAAGGAAAAAGAACATGGAGAATGACAAAAGCCCAGAGGGAGGAGTAAAAGGACACAAACACCATTCTCAGGGACCGGGACTGGGCGCCGTTCTCAGGGACCAGGACTGGGCACTAATCACAGAACTGTAACAGGCGCCCCATGGGAATGACCAACTGTTAAACGGGGCCTGCAGGGCAGCACCTCCCTCCTGCCTCCCACCAACAGCTTCTAAAGGGAAATGTCGACTGTTTTCACAGCAGTCCCCTCACTGTGGCTGTGTGTGTCGGGCGCAGATGACAGGCCACCACAACCTGATTCAGTCCCCACTGTGGCTGTGTGTGGGGGGTCAGATGACAGGCTACCACAACCTGATTCAGTCCCCACTGTGGCTGTGTGTCGGGGGTCAAATGACAGACCACCACAACCTGATTCAGTCCTCACTGTGTCTGTGTGTGTGGGTGCAGATGACAGGCCACCACAACCTGATTCAGGATTCAGTTGGGCTACCAGCCAGTGCCATAAGGAAAACCATTCTGGGGCTCTTGAGAGGGGCAAAGCATAATTTCCATGTGGGAGAAACGTTAATAGTTTGTGGCCAGAGGACAAGCTGTGGTTTATGAAAGACTGCTGCAGGTTCCTACTATGCTTCTCATCAAGAGGTGGAATCTAATCACCTTCCCACCTGGAATCATGGCTGATCTCAGTGATGAGTACGACTGGACAGTGTGGCAGGAGAGATGCTCTGGGACTTCTGAGGGATGATCATGAGAGACCTTACAGCTTCTGCCTGGGCCTCTTGGACACACACCCTGGGAGAAGCCAGACAAACCTGACTACCTGACTGCCAGACTGGGAGGAAGTCCGTGCTGGCCACAAAGAGAGGGCTGGGTGCCTGCTCCATGTCCCCAGCCACTAGAGTCCTTCTGGGTGCCTGCTTCACGTCCCCAGCCACTAGAGTCCTTACAGATGAGACCAGGGAGATCATGAAGCAACAAACCCACACCACCCTGTCCAGTGTCTTGACAAAGAAAATTGTGACATGTAAAAAGAATAAATTCCTGGTTTAAGCCAGTAAGGTTACTGGTACATTGTTACATCTCAGATAATTAAAACCTTGAAAAACTCATGAGAGATCACAAGTAGAACCTTGATCTGAAACATGGCATGTGGCGATTTATATTGAGTATTAGGTTAAAAATGCAAGAAAGGAGCATAGTTAATATTTTACGTTAAAGCTAAAACTATAATTGCCTACTTAACATTTTCAGTAATTAGGTTGTCACTTTTTGTTCTTAACCAAGAAATCAATTAGTTTTAGTCCATAAACAGTTAGAACTGATATACACATCCGTTTTTCCTTACTCATTTTAAACAGCTATCTGAAATAGGAAGCGTAATATAATCTTTAAAGAATCTGAAAACATGACAGAAATGTTTAAACTATAAAAACATATTGTATATGTTAGCATATTGTATACATTGCATATTAACATAAGCTAGAATCATTGACATAAATTTATATAGACAAAAGGTAGAAAATATGACAATGTTCTTCTTGTTTTTTGTCTTTGCATATTTCTTTATTGGCGCTTGTCAAACGTGACCCACTAACTCCTGAATGCTTTCTCTCTCCCCATGGATTCCTAAGGATGTCACCACAGTTTTGGCCAGATGTACAGGTCACAGGGGACTGAATCTCATCACCCCACAAACATACCATTCAGGTTTTGCCAAGAATGACACTGTAAATATAACAAAGCTTTCGTGCTTGTTAGTGAACACCAACTCAGCTCCTCTCCTGTATTCAGAAATCAGGATGAGATGAAAACAACGAGCAGGCCAGGCACGGTGGCTCACGCCTGTAATCCCAGCACTTTGGGAGGCTGAGGCGGGTGGATCACCTGAGGTCAGGAGTTCGAGACCACCCTGATCAAAACATAGAAACCCCATCTCTACTAAAAATACAATATTAGCCGGGCGTGGTGGCAAATGCCTGTAATACCAGCTACTCAGGAGCTGAGGCAGGAGAATTGCTTGAACCCGGGAGGTGGAGGCTGCAGCGAGCCAAGATCACACCACTGCGCTCTAGCCTGGGCAACAAGAGTGAAACTCTGTCTCAAAAGAAAAAAAATTAAAAATAAAAGAACAAGGAAACAAAAGTAACAAAGCTTGACACCAGATGAGCCTGAATCTAACCAAGAAAAGCCCAGAAGAAATCCCATTTTGGGTCACTGGCTGCATGGTAGTAATACCATATACATAAGGGAAGAGAGGAGGATGTGGCTTTCACTTTGAATTTTTTGAGCTTAAGGTAACTTTTGTGTAGCTACAAAGAAGCATTCAACAGAGAGCTAAACTTATGATGGAAAGACTGAAGGGGTCCAAGCTGTAGAGAAACAGGACTGCAAACCACAAAGGGCTGAATCAGTCAAGGAGAACTGCAGGGCGGGATGAACAGGGACCAACGGAACATTTGGATAAGCTGTTGAGAAGAAAGGAGAATTCAGAGAAAAAGAACTGTCAGTGAGGTCATAATAGGAACTGTTACAGTGAACTAAATATGGCCTGGGAAGGACTCTGTACTTCTAGATTTGAGTCCCTGTGGACAAACTGCAACCTAACTTAATAGGTAGAAAGACTGAAAACCTAACTTAGGAGTATGCGCCTGTAACTATAGCTGAGTCCTGACCAATCCCAACAGCCAAACTTCTGCCACTCACACACTGCTGAGTGTTCAGCTGTGTTCAAATAAGGCAAATGCTGAGCACTGTAACCAGTCCAGTTGCTTCTGGACCTCACTGCTGAGAACTGTAACAGACTCAGGTGCTTCTGGACCTCACTCCTCACTTCAGACTTCTGTACATCACGTTCCCTTTATTGTCTATAAATCTTCCACCATGTAGCTGTGCTGGAGTCTCACCAAATCTGCTGTGATTCTGGGGGCTGCCTGATTCGTGAATCATTCATTGCTCAATTAAGTTCCTTTAAATTTAATTCAGCTGAAGATTTTCTTTTAATAGATGGTATCAGAAGTGGGATCTGTGGTAGCAGGACTGCTAGGGCCTCCGGAGTTATAGTGTGGTGAGCAGTGTTGCTAGGGCTTCTAATGACCCCCAGGAGTGCTGAGGTACAAGAAAGGCACCTGCAAGGACTGCTCTGTGATGGCAGCAGTGGCCCACGTGGAGAAGTTGCTACGGAGACACTGGCTGCTGTGGGGAGGAGTGGCTGGGGCTGTGCGCTCCTCGAAGCTGGTGGGAGCCAGGAACGGGGGGGGGAGCCCCACCCCTTCTAAATTGGTAGGCAGGAGCCCCGCCCTCCCAGGCACAGCTGCAGCCATCCAGCCATGACTGCAAACCCGGGCATCTTTGCACTCTCAGAGGCCCAGCAAGCCCCCCTGCCCCGCAGGCTCAGTTGTACCTGGTCCCACCACCTGGCGTCTCCGCTCCCAGAGCCCACTCCAACTTCGGATCCAAGTTGAGGCTGAACCCGGGTACAGTCGCAACCCAGCCCAGTTTGTGCAAGCTCAGGGCAGTGCTGACATGCCAGCCCCCTGCCACCTCAGCCCCCTCCAGACTTTGGGCACTGACGAGCACAGGAGGGAGGTTGAGGTGGGGCTAAGGGTGGCTCAGCACTGGCCTGAAGGCACTCCTCAGCTCGAACAGCCTGGGCATCGTGTGCACAGCTAACCACCGTGCGTCTCTCTCAGCTGCTGAGAGCTGAACAGACGTTGGGATGACCTGCCTGCAGAAAGGAGCTACCCACTGCAGGTCTCCTCTGAGCTGTACTGTTGCTCAATAAAGCACCTCTTCACCTTGCTCACCTTCTACTTGCCCACATACCTCATTCTTCCTGGACTCAGGACAAGAACTCGGGACCTGCCAACTAGCAGGGCTGAAAGAGTTGCAACATAAACAGGGCTGAAACGCACCCCTTGCTTGCCAAATTGCAGGCAAGAAGAAGAGAAGAGAGAAGGAGAGAAGAGCTGTGGCCCTTCAGGGAGCCCAGACCTAGGAGCTCCCCAAGCCAGGGCTGTGACACCTTCTTTGGGGCTCTGCAGTTCCTGCATCTCTAAGCTTCTGGGCACCACTGCATTCCCTGATACCCACAGTGGAAGCTGTTTGCAGTCGGCCTGGTCCAGCTGCAGCCTCACAGGGAGCTGGCACCTGTGCCGGTGCCTGGAGCTGCCCACACCACTGCAGCTGGCATGCTTGGCTGTGTGCAGTGGCCAGATCCCATGCTCGCTTGCTCACACACCCTTCACTGCTCTGTACCCAGCTCACCCTTGGCAGGTGTGGGATCCAGACCACTAGCATGAGCCGAGTGGACAGAACGAACCCAGTGGGCTCGAGCAAAACACAGGTAAATGTGCCACCAGCCAGAGGTTTCAGGCAGAAAATTGATGCCTCAGGATTCTGTAACACTTGTGCCCTTTGACCTCTCAGAGCAGCTGGGGATCGTGGTAAATTCTCTCTCGGATTTCAGAGCTCCATGGATTTGTGTTTTGAGCTCTGAGTTTCTTTGAGCAAATTTCTGTTCCAA
This sequence comes from Homo sapiens, assembly GCF_000001405.40. NCBI lineage: Eukaryota > Metazoa > Chordata > Mammalia > Primates > Hominidae > Homo > Homo sapiens. The sequence goes on along the minus strand of NT_113793.3, from coordinate 98,649 downwards.
ACTGCTATCCAGCCATGACTGGCTGGATGTTTTAGAAGTTATGACAGAAACGGGACCGGGTCCAGGATCAGATTTGATCCAGTAGTTAACTGGCTTGAATCCAGTTCCAGTTAGAGGCCCCCTACATCTGAATGGGTCAGAAGGAAAGTGGTAGCAAATGATAATATTGGAGGGTTGTAAAATTTGGCTTTTCAAAATTCACAGGGATTTTTGTGTTCTACCCCTTTGTTTCATTTTCCTCGCATGCTTAGGTAGGAAAAAAAAATCATTGGCTAAGTCAATCAAGGGAACCTGGGAGTAAAGCCAATATATTAGGTAAAAATAGGATCCTTAATTTCTGGAAAACTAAGTTCCTTCTGGCTAATTCATTAGGCCTGGGAAGCAGCAAAGTCTTACAGAAATGGCAAAATCTTACTAAAGATAACTTACAGTGGAACATTCCAAATGAATAATGCCATGAAGTGCATTTAAAAATGATGGCTCCCAAATTAGTCTCACTTAGGGATGCCTATTAATATGCAGAAGCTTCTAAAAAGATTTAGAGATGGCACGGCCTATCTGGGAGCAAGTTTGAGTCTTACCAGTTTGACACTGTGTGCTAAGCAAAGTGGCTCGTGTCTATGTTTTGTCACATGTATTTTGCTCTGAGCAGAATGAAAAATGTTAATTTGGTTACTCCAAGCAACCCCTTGGGCAGCATCTTGCAAAGCTGAGTGGATTCTTCCTGTGGCTCCATGATTTCCATTGTGATGCAGCTTGGCCCCCAGAGCTATAATGTGGTGAGGAGGGTGACAGAGCAAGACGCTATCTTTAAAAAAAAACATGGCCAGGGGCAGTGGCTCACGCCTGTAATCCCAACACTTGGGGAGGCCGAGACAGGTGGATCACCTGAGGTCAGGAGTTCAGGGCCAGCCAGACCAACAAGGAAAAACCCTGTCTCTACTAAAAACACAAAATTAGCTGGGCATGGTGGGGCATGCCTCTAATCCCAGCTACTCAGGAGGCTGGGGCGGGAGAATCGCTTGAACCTGGGAGGCAGGGGATTGCAGTAAACCGAGATCGCACCATTGCACTCCAGCCTGGGCAACGAGAGGGAAAATCCATCTCAAAAAAAAAAAAAAGAATAATAGATTTGCCTATAAGGTTTTATGAAAAAGTGGGTGACATTTGGCTTTCTCTCTTTAAAGAAGATTTTCAGAAAATATTAAAAAATAATGGGAGGAGGAGCCAAGATGGCCGAATAGGAACAGCTCCACTCTACAGCTCCCAGCATGAACGACGCAGAAGATGGGTGATTTCTGCATTTCCATTTGAGGTACTGGGTTCATCTCACTAGGGAGTGCCAGACAGTGGGTGCAGGACAGTGGGTGAAGTGCACTGTGCACTAGCCGAAGCAGGGCAAGGCATTGCCTCACTCGGGAAGCACAAGAGGTCAGGGAGTTAGTTCCCTTTCCTGGTCAAGGAACGGGGTGAGAGATGGCACCTGGAAAATTGGGCCACTCCCACCCTAATACTGTGCTTTTCTGATGGGCTTAGGAAACGGCGCACCAGGAGATTACATCCTGCACATGGCTCGGAGGGTCCTACGCCCATGGGATCTTGCTAATTGCTAACACAGCAGTCTGAGATCAAACTGCAAGGCGGCAGCGAGGCTGGGGGAAGGGCACCGGCCATTGCCCAGGCTCTCTTAGGTAAACAAAGCAGCCAGGAATCTCAAACTGGGTGGAGCCCACCACAGCTCAAGGAGGCCTGCCTGCCTCTGCAGGCTTCACCTCTGGGGGCAGGGCACAGACAAACAAAAAGACAGCAGTAACCTCTGCAGACTTAAATGTCCCTGTCTGACAGCTTTGAGGAGAGCAGTGGATCTCTCAGCACGCAGCTGGAGATCTGAGAATGGGCAGACTGCCTCCTCAAGTGGGTCCCAGACCCCTGACCCCTGAGCAGCCTAACTGGGAGGAACCCCCCCCCAGTAGGGGCAGACTAACACCTCACACGACCGGGTACTCCTCTGAGACAAAACTTCCAGAGGAACGATCAGACAGCAGCATTCGCAGATCACGAAAATCCATGGTTTTGCAGACACCACTGCTGATACCCAGGCAAACAGAGTCTGGAATGGGTCTCTAGCAAACTCCAACAGACCTTAAGCTGAGGGTACTGTCTGTTAGAAGGAAAACTAACAAACAGAAAGGACATCCACACCAAAAACCCATCTGTACATCACCATCATCAAAGGCCAAAAGTAGATAAAACCACAAAGATGGGGTGAAAACAGAGCAGAAAAACTGGAAACTCTAAAAAGCAGAAAACCTCTCCTCCTCCAAAGGAATGCAGTTCCTCACCAGCAATGGAACAAAGCTGGACAGAGAATGACTTTGACGAGCTGAGAGAAGAAGGCTTCCGACGATCAAACTACTCCGAGCTACAGGGAAAAATTCAAACCAAAGGCAAAGAAGTTGAAAACTTTGAAAAAACTTTAGACGAATGTATAACTAGAATAACCAATATAGAGAAGTGCTTAAAGGAGCTGATGGAGCTGAAAGCCAAGGCTGGAGAACTACATGAAGAATGCAGAAGCCTCAGGAGCTGATGCGATCAACTGGAAGAAAGGGTATCAGTGATGGAAGATGAAATGAATGAAATGAAGTGAGAAGGGAAGTTTAGAGAAAAAAGAATAAAAAGAAATGAACAAAGCCTCCAAGAAATATGTGACTATGTGAAAAGACCAAATCTGCATCTGATTGGTGTACCTGAAAGTGACAGGGAGAATGGAACCAAGTTGGAAAACACTCTGCAGGATATTATCCAAGAGAACTTCCCCAATCTAGCAAAGCAGGGCAACATTCAGATTCAGGAAATACAGAGAACACCACAAAGATACTCCTCGAGAACAGCAACTCCAAGACACATCATTGTCAGATTCACCAAAGTTGAAATGAAGGAAAAAATGTTAAGGGCAGCCAGAGAGAAAGGTCGGGTTACCCACAAAGGGAAGCCCATCAGACTAACTGCTGATCTCTTGGCAGAAACTCTACAAGCCAGAAGAGAGTGGGGGCAAATATTCAACATTTTTAAAGAAAAGAATTTTCAACCCAGAATTTCATATCCAGCCAAACTAAGCTTCATAAGTGAAGGAGAAATAAAATACTTTACAGACAACCAAATGCTGAGAGATTTTGTCATCACCAGGCCTGCCCTAAAAGAGCTCCTGAAGGAAGCACTAAACATGCAAAGGCACAATCGGTACAAACCACTGCAAAAACATGACAAATTGTAAAGACCATCAAGACTAGGAAGAAACTGCATCAACTAACGAGCAAAATAACCAGCTAACATCATAATGACAGGATCAAATTCACACATAACAATATTAACTTTAAATGTAAATGGACTAAATGCTCCAATTAAAAGACACACACTGGCTAATTGGATAAAGAGTCAAGACCCATCAGTGTGCTGTATTCAGGAAACCCATGTCTCGTGCAGAGACACACATAGGCTCAAAATAAAAGGATGGAGAAAGATCTACCAAGCAAATGGAAAACAAAAAAAGGCAGGGGTTGCAATCCTAGACTCTGATGAAACAGACTTTAAACCAACAAACATCAAAAGAGACAAAGAAGACCATTACATAATGGTAAAGGGATCAATTCAACAAGATGAGCTAACTATCCTAAATATATATGCACCCAATACAGGAGCATCCAGATTCATAAAGCCAGTCCTGAGTGACCTACAAAGAGACTTAGACTCCCACACAATAATAATGGGAGACTTTAACACCCCACTGCCAACATTAGACAGATCAATGAGACAGAAAGTTCACAAGGATACCAAGGAATTGAACTCAGCTCTGCACCAAGCGGACCTAATAGACATCTACAGAACTCTCCACCCCAAATCAACAGAATATACCTTTTTTTCAGCACAACACCACACCTATTCCAAAATTGACCACATACTTGGAAGTAAAGGCCTCTTCAGCAAAAGTAAAAGAACAGAAATTATAACAAACTGTCTCTCAGACCACAGTGAAATCAAACTAGAACTCGGGATTAAGAAACTCACTAAAAACTGCTCAACTACATGGAAACTGAACAACCTGCTCCTGAATGACTACTGGGTACATAACGAAATGAAGGCAGAAATAAAGATGTTCTTTGAAACCAATGAAAACAAAGACACAACATACCAGAATCTCTGGGACACATTCAAAGCAGTGTGTAGAGGGAAATTTATAGCACTAAATGCCCACAAGGGAAAGCAGGAAAGATCCAAAATTGACACCCTAACATCACAATTAAAACAACTAGAAAAGCAAGAGCAAACACGTTCAAAAGCTAGCAGAGGCAAGAAATAACTAAAATCAGAGCAGAACTGAAGGAAATAGCAACAAAAAAACCCTTCAAAAAATTAATGAATCCAGGAGGTGGTTTTTTGAAAGGATCAACAAAATTGATAGACTGCTAACAGGACTAATAAAGAAAAAAAGAGAGAAGAATCAAATAGACACAATAAAAAATGATAAAGGGGATATCACCACTGATCCCTCAGAAATACAAACTACCATCAGAGAATACTACAAACACCTCTACGCAAATAAACTAGAAAATCTAGAAGAAATGGATAAATTCCTTGACACATACACTCTCCCAAGACTAAACCAGGAAGAAGTTGAATCTCTGAATAGACCAATAACAGGAGCTGAAATGGTGGCAATAATCAATAGCCTACCAACCAAAAAAAGTCCTGGACCAGATGGATTCACAACCAAATTCTACCAGAGGTACAAGGAGGAACTGGTACTATTCCCTCTGAAACTATTCCAATCAATAGAAGAAGAAGGAATCCTCCCTAACTCATTTTATGAGGCCAGCATCATCCTGATACCAAAGCCGGGAAGAGACACAACCAAAAAAGAGAATTTTAGACGAATATCCTTCATGAACATTGATGCAAAAATCCTCAATAAAATACTGGCAAACCGAATCCAGCAGCACATCAAAAAGCTTATCCACCATGATCAAGTGGGTTTCATCCCTGGGATGCAAGGCTGGTTCAATATACACAAATCAATAAATGTAATCCAGCATATAAACAGAACCAAAGACAAAAACCATATGATTATCTCAATAGATGCAGAAAAGGCCTTTGACAAAATTCAACAATGCTTCATGCTAAAAACTCTCAATAAATTAGGTATTGATGGGACGTATCTCAAAATAATAAGAACTATCTTTGACAAACCCACAGCCAATATCATACTGAATGGGCAGAAACTGGAAGCATTCCCTTTGAAAACGGGTACAAGATAGGGATGCCATCTCTCACCACTCCTATTCAACATAGTGTTGGAAGTTCTGGCCAGGGCAATCAGGAAGGAGAAGGAAATAAAGGGTATTCAATTAGGAAAAGAGGAAGTCAGATTGTCCCTGTTTGCAGATGACATGATTGTATATCTAGAAAACCCCATTGTCTCAGCCCAAAATCTCCTTAAGCTAAGTAACCTCAGCAAAGTCTCAGGATGCAAAATCAATGTACAAAAATCACAAGCATTCTTATACACCAATAACAGACAAACAGAGAACCAAATCATGAGTGAACTCACATTCGCAATAGCTTCAAAGAGAATAAAATACTTAGGAATCCAATTTACAAGGGACGTGAAGGACCTCTTCAAGGAGAACTACAAACCACTGCTCAATGAAATAAAAGAGGATACAAACAAATGGAAGAACATTCCATGCTCATGGATAGGAAGAATCAATATCATGAAAATGGCCATACTGCCCAAGGTAATTTATAGATTCAATGCCATCCCCATCAAACTACCAATGACTTTCTTCACAGAATTGGAAAAAACTACTTTAAAGTTCATATGGAACCAAAAAAGAGCCTGCATCACCAAGTCAATCCTAAGCCAAAAGAACAAAGCTGGAGGCATCACGCTACCTGACTTCCAACTATATTACAAGGCTACAGTAACCAAAACAGCATGGTACTTGTACCAAAACAGAGATATAGACCAATGGAACAGAACAGAGCCCTCCGAAATAATGCCACATATGTACAACTATCTGATCTTTGACAAACCTGACAAAAAGAAGCAGTGGATTCCCTATTTAATAAATGGTGCTGGGAAAACTGGCTAGCCATATGTAGAAAGCTGAAACTGGATCCCTTCCTTACACCTTATACAAAAATTAATTCAAGATGGATTAAAGACTTAAATGTTAGACTTAAAACCATAAAAACCCTAGAAGAAAACCTAGGCATTACCATTCAGGACATAGGCATGGGCAAGGACTTCATGTCTAAAACACCAGAAGCAATGGCAACAAAAGCCAAAATTGACAAATGGGATCTAATTAAACTAAAGAGCTTCTGCATAGCAAAAGAAACTGTCATCAGAGTGAACAGGCAACCTACAAAATGGGAAAAAGTTTTCGCAACCTACTCATCTGACAACGGGATAATATCCAGAATCTACAATGAACTTAAACAAATTTACAAGAAAAAAACAAACAACCCCATCAAAAAGTGGGCAATGGATATGAACAGACACTTCTCAAAAGAAGACATTTATGCAGCCAAAGGACACATGAAAAAATGCTCATCATCACTGGCCATCAGAGAAATGTACATCAAAACCACAATGAGATACCATCTCACACCAGTTAGAATGGCAATCATTAAAAAGTCAGGAAACAACAGGTGCTGGAGAGGATGTGGAGAAATAGGAACACTGTTGGTGGGACTGTAAACTAGTTCAACGATAGTGGAAGTCAGTGTGGTGATTCCTCAGGTATCTGGAACTACAAATACCATTTGACCCAGCCATCCCATTAGTGGGTATATAACCAAAGGACTATAAATCATGCTGCTATAAAGACACATGCACACGTATGTTTATTGTGGCACTATTCACAATAGCAAAGACTGGGAACCAACCCAAATGTCCAACAACGTTAGACTGGATTGAGAAATTGTGGCACATATACACCATGGAATACTATGCAGCCATAAAAAATGATGAGTTCATGTCCTTTGTAGGGACATGGATGAAATTGGAAATCATCATTCTCAGTAAACTATCACAAGGACAAAAAACCAAACACTGCATGTTCTCACTCATAGATGGGAATTGAACAATGAGAACACATGGACACAGGAAGGGGAACATCACACTCTGGGGACTGTTGTGAGGTGGGGGAAGGGGGGAGGGATACCATTAGAAGATGTAACTAATGCTAAATGACGAGTTAATGGGTGCAGCACACCAGACTGGCACATGTATACATATGTAACTAACCGGCACATTGTGCACATAAACCCTAAAGCTTAAAGTATAATAATAATAATAATAATAATAATAATAATAATAAATAAAATAAAATAAAAAAATGAAAAATTTGTTTGCCTTGTAAATAAACTACCAAAAAAAAAAAAAGGAAAAACAAGAGGCAGATCGTTTGTGAAGATAAGTCTTCCCCCTATCAATGAGTAAAGATTTTTGCCCTTTAAAAATTTTTTAAGTCATGATTTTAGGTAAATGAATGACTTATGGTGACGTGGAATTCTATTTCATAACATCAAGTGTTTAAACCTTTAATATATTTAATAGGCTTCCCAAAATCAAATTTCAACTTCAAAATTGTCTTTTCTGACCTCTAACTTTGGGATACTACAGAGGCCCCTGAAGCACCCAAAAGAGAGGTAAACAGGACTATTTAACATGTTAAGTCACATGGGTAGCACTGTCAAAATAAAAAATAATGTTGAACCTTCTTCAGGTTATATTTAGTGTATGTCATCAATCCATTCTAAAATTGTATAGGATTTCTAAAATTCTTGATTTTTTTTTTTTTTTTTTCTGAGATGGAGTCTTGCTCTGTCACCCAGGCTGGAGTACAGTGGTGCAATCTTGGCTCACTGCAACCTCCACCTCCCAGGTTCATGCCATTCTCCTGCCTCAGCCTCCCAAGTAGCTGGGACTACAGGCACCTACCACCATGCCAGGCTAATTTTTGTATTTTTAGTAAAGACGGATTTCACTGTGTTAGCCAGGATGATCTCCATCTCCTGACCTCGTGATCCTTCCACCTCGGCCTCCCATAGTGCTGGGATTACAGGCATGAGCCACCACATCCACCCTAATTATGGTTATTAAGTTATTGTAGACCACAAAAATAACCAAATTTCCTTGTCAATTGTCTTTAACTATAACTATTTAAAGTCATTTCCACAGTTAATTGCTTAATGGTGATGCAGTTTCTAAAAACTTCACAAGCATGCAAAATTCTAGAATATGGTGTCTCTTAGAAGATTCATGAAAGAATGAAAAGGACCCTAAAAAACACTTGTGAACACAGATTTCTAATAACTTTAATATCATGGGTAAAAATTCCCCATAAGTTCCAAGATACCCCAAGAATTGGACTGGTTAAGAATTCTCAAAAGTTAGGCTGGGTGCAGCAGCTCACGTCGGCAATCCCAGCACTTTGGGAGGCCAAGGCCAGTGGATCACTTGAGGTCAGGAGTTTGAGACCAGCCTGGCCAACGGTGAAAGCCCACCTCTACTAAAAATACAGAAATTAGCCAGGTGTGGTGGTATGTGCCTGTAATCCCAGCTACTCTGGAGGCTGAGGCAAGAGAATTGCTTGAACCCAGGAGGTGGAGGTTGCAGTGAGCCAAGATTGTGCCACTGCACTCCAACCTAGGTAACACAGTGAGACTCTGTCTCAAAAAAAAAAAAATCCCAAAATTTTAATAAAAAGACCAACTGGTTTATAAAACTTCTAACCCAAGTAAAACAAAAATTGTATACCAAGGAAATATTTTGCCACATTTGCATGCTAAATCACCAATATTGAAATTGTTTAGATATATAATTTAAATAAACTCCATGGTCTAAGTCAAATTACCTATAACTACTCATGAGTTACCAGTGCCATGCACCTAATTTGGAGAAACAGCTGGTATTCAAGAGGATGTAAGTCTAATGTTAATTAAGCACACACTTATGAAGAACCAGGATGGCCACCTTATCCTTCTTAAGTCCTTAAAACTTTTGTTATTAAAAGTTCTGCATTCCATAACTCATCATGGAAAGAGAAAATGATCCAAATTAAATATATTGGTGTGGTGATTTCTAAACTGCTAAAATAGTTTATAACCAATGTTTGGTTTGTCAAACCTATATTCCTAGGAAAACAATCAAAACTTCAGGTACATTTGATTACCTGATGGGCCATTTAAACATTTTATAAAGGGATTTCATTCAGTTGTCATTTTCAGTGCATGCTTTCTGATTGTATAAAAGCTCTTCCATGCGAGAGAGTTGATGTTAAAACAGTACATTATTACCCTGAAGTGTATTTTCACCAGGTAAAGAAAGCCTTTTATGGTTCACTGGGGACAGTCAACCCCTTCACAATCTAGAATCTGATGACTGGATCTTCTGAGAACATCAGAGAAGGACTGCCCTTGCCATCCACATGACAGCAAAACTTTAAAAACTTAAACTTTGGGTTCATAGTTTCACAACTCAGAAGGGTCCCTCCACACTTGGAACCATATACCCATTGGAACCCTTAAGGTAAAGCTAACAAGGACAGTTCCCCCCAGAAGAAGATGGCATCCTTAATGTGAACAGCTTTTCCCAAGATCACAGATCAAGACTTCTCTACTATCATGAGACTCTTATCTTAAGTATCTGTGCAGCTGCTAACACTTACAGCATGTGGAGAAAACATGGGGTATTATAAAAATTTGGTTGTAGGGAATTAACAAAAAACCCACTTAGTTAAGCAAGTAAACTCTTTATCTAATTCATTCTTTAATCTATTTTATTTTAGGTGGTTTGATTTATGGGGACCCTGAGTAAGGAGCATATACCAAATTCTTGGTATTATCCCAGTAGTCATAAGAGTCTCCCTGGTGCACTGTACTTACTCAGATGTTTTACGAGTTTGCATGCAGGCATCTCTAAAATGTCAAATGGTATCTCTTCAACTGGAATGACAAGAGATTTTAAAAAAATGTGCAACCATAAGGACACTGTAACCTATGAGTGACCTGCGAAACCAGAGACCCAAAACAATGGGAGTGATGTGCTTAAACTGGAACCCAAAACAATGGGAGTGACATGCTAAACCAGAAACCCAAAACAATGGGAGTGACTTGCTAAAACTGGAACCCAAAACAATGGGAGTGACGTGCTAAAACCGGAAATGAAAACAATGGGAGTGATGTGCTTAAATAGGAACCCAAAACAATGGGAGTGACGTGCTAAAACCAGAACCCAAAACATGGGAGTGATGTGCTAAAACCGGAACCCAAAACAATGGGAGTGACGTGCTAAACCAGAAACACAAAACAGTGGGAATGATGTGCTAAAACCGGAACCCAAAACAATGGTAACTAAGAGTGATGCTAAGGCCCTATATTTTGGTCACACTCTCAACGAAGTGAGAACTTGACTGAAAAGGAGGATTTTTTTTTTCTAAGACAGAGTCTTGGTGTGTCCCACAGAGTGGAGTGCAGTGGCACGATCTCAGCTCACTGTAAGCTCCGCCTCCCGGGTTCAGGCCATTCTCCTGCCTCAGCCTCCTGAGTAGCTGGGAATACAGGCACCTGCCACCACGCTTGGCTAATTTTTTGTATTTTTAGTAGAGACAGGGTTTCACCATATTAGCAAGGATGGTCTCAATCTCCTGACCTCGTGATCTGCCCACCTCAGCCTCCCAAAGTGCTAGGATTACAGGTGTGAGCCACCGTGCCCAGCCAAAAGGAGGAATTTTTTAAGCAAAACTATGGGAGGCCATTGTTTTGAACTAAGCTCATGCAATAGGTCCCAACAGACCAAACCAAACCAAAATGGAGTCACTCATGCTAAATGTAACATAATCAAACTAAGACTTTAAGGAAACATATAAATCCTAGAACAAACCAGGTTTTGTTTTTCTCCTATAAACAGGATGTTCCAGCATAAGAAGATACCTTCTACTCAAGTCCTTGTTCCACCTTTTCAAATCTCACTGGTCTATTTCCCAGTGGGTTTCTAAACCAAGTAAGTACATTTGCAATGGTAATAGTGACACCAGTGACTGAAGTTTTGGCCAATCTCTCAAAATTGAGAAAATAACCAAAGGGAAGGCATTGTTAAAGTGAACTAAGTATGGCCTGAGAAGGACTCCATAATTCTATATATGAGTACTTGTGGATGAACTGCAACCTACCTTAATAGGTATACAAGAATGAAAAAATAACTTGAGAGTATGCACCTGGAACAACAGCTACATCTTGGCCAATCCCAATGGCCAAACTTCAACAACTCAGGCACTGCCAAATGTTCAAACTGTGTTCAAACAAGGCAAACGCTGAGTTGTTTCTGTACCTCACTTCCGATTTCGGTATGCCATTTCCCTTTTGTCTATAAATCTTCTTCCACCACATGACTGCGCTGGAGTCTCTGTGAATCTGCTGTGATTCTGGGGACTGTCCGATTTGTGAATCGTTTATTGCTCAATTAAACTCCTTTAAAGTTTTTCTTTTAACAGAACTAACACAGAAGAATTTCCAGATCATGAACAGATGTTTTGTAATACCCAACGTTGTATTAACATGAATAGATGTTCCTTAGATAGCTAACCTTGTTTTTAATATGAATAGACTCTCCCTTAGCTGAGAAAACCAGACAAATTCCATTTGGCTCCTTCATTTACAAAACATCAAGGGCTTCTTACCCACCCCTTTTCCTCAAGGACTTTAACTTGTGCAAGCTGATTTTCAACATATCAAAGAGTGCAATTAACTGATAAAGTGCTGAGACAAGAGATGTCCGCAGTTCCCAGCAAATTACTCAGAGATAGTATCATAAAGCCCCCACATTTGTCCGGCAGATAATGCCCAGAGCCCCCTCACCTATCACTTTTTGGTGAATTTAAAGCCCCTGCACCTGGAACAGTTTGTTTTCCTGTAACCATCTGTCTTTTTAACTTTTTTGTCTGTTTATTTCTTCTGTAAAGTTGCTGCAGCTAGAATCCCCCCTCCCCTCTCTAAACCAAATTATAAAAGAAAATCTAGTCCCTTCTTCGGGGCCGAGAGAATTTCGTGCGTTAGCCGTCTCTCAGTCACCGGCTAATAAAGGACTCCTGAATTCGTCTCAAAGTGTGGCGTTTCTCTCTCACTCAGGTACGACAGTTTCAACTATGGTAGAAGACTCGAGTAAGGCAAATACAGTCCCCCTAAATTTGACTATTATTTAGGTTAATGGTGAGTTTAGAAGAAATAAGTTAAGACTACACAGAGTGGGCTAAAGTGCAAATAAACACTGGAAATATTTCCCAGAAAATATGACTTTGAACAGGCTGCTGCACACCCTGCATGTAGAGACAAAGTAAGAAAAAGTGTGGAGAGTTATTTAAGGACCTATGGTTAACTCAGTCCTCAAGATGTTCTGGGTTTCATCCATGAATCAAGGAGGACCTCCCAAAAGCTGTTTGGGACCACACTCTTTGAGCAAGGAGCATATCTTACGATGGAAGCTGTGCTTTAGCGGCAGATGACCATTTCCACTGCAAAACACACTGTGCTTTAGCGGAAGATGACCGTTTCCACTGTACAACACTACAAGTGGTTACTGCCAGGCCGGTGTGAAATATGTTCCAGCACATAATCTATGTCACCAATGAAGGTGGTGGTTCGGACTTGGTGCACGCAAGCTTTCCTGTCCCACAAGAACACAGCATGTTCTCTTCTCGGGTTCCACTCCAATCACGTAACAAATATGACTGCCTTTTTTGTCTCGGCATCAGAAAGATCAGAGGAAAATTTGCACCCAACTTAGACAACTCTAAGCTCTTATAACCTGCCTATATCTACAGGTCAGCTTTATCTTATTTATGTATATTTCCTTCAACCTGAGTTTTACTTATTTCTACTTTTCCTTTTTAATTCACAGACACCCAAAAACTCAGAAAATACAATGTAAAACAAAGTGAAGAACAAATAAACAACTCACCAGAGATTTATTCGTTTCCTGTTGCTCTTGGAAACACCCAGAGGACACTGGAAACATAGCTGGGATAGAAGGCAAATGACGTGGATTAAGCAGAGAACTGGTGTGGTGTAGTCCCAGATTCTTCTGCCCAACACTCTAGACACATTACCTGGGAAAGCTCTCCTCCCTCCTGAAAAAGAAAAACTTCCCCATGGGAGAAGAGTCCTTCACGCCTCATTAGGGGCATCAAAGACTCAAGTTAAGATAAGATACATCTACAAGTACATTAATTGGTAGACATTAGATGCACAATTTATTTTTGAATAAAAATATGTATTACCTATTAATTTAGTAACAATATGATCTAAAGATATAATCTAATAATTTAATGCAAAGAAACATTATAAGTTCACTAAAATAAATGTTATAGAAATATACTAGGCTGTATTAACTATTTTCCTATTTATATGTAGATTCCACAAATAACTTCATATGAGTGTTCCCATGACAGTACATCTTGCTTTTCTATATCTGAACATCATGGAAAGTGCATCTTGCAAACCAGCAATTTTGGCCTACAATTACATTTTTTAAAATGTACATAATATGTATTTCCTACAGTACACCATTGTACTCATGTTTCCCAATAACAGCTTTCCTTCTATGCAAGCCCTCATATTATGCTCTGATAATAAATTGGGCTTTTCCATCTGACTTGTCCAGTGAATGGACAATGGAAAATGTGATGCAAATATCCATTGGTTCTTGCCATTTTGGACACAGTCAAATTGTGAAGAGGTCTGGAGCTACCCTGTTGGAGACACAGGGCCTAGCCAAGAGTCACCACAAACCACCAGATTGTGAAGGAAACTATCTTAAACCAACCAGGCTCAGTAAAGGCACCAGGTGACTAAGGACTTTTTGTGATCCAGGCAACACAAATATATCAACTACCCAGCTGAACCCACCACACCAAAATGCAGATCCACAGAACTTCAAACAAATAAAATGGTGTTTGTTTTTTATAAGCCAGTAAGGTTTAATTAGTTCCTTAAACAGCAAGTATTAACTGTTACACCTAAGTGAACAGAATTCACTTCTGTGTTTTTAACAAAATTACGTAGGGGGAGAAAATCTTAAATTACAAATCAAATACAATCAATAGAACTTCGCAATCTAATGCTAAATTTGGGGATGGACTAGGTTTAATATATCTCAGACGCTGGGAAAAACGAGCTAAGGTTGAAGGAATGGGACTGTGTTTGGAGAGTATTTTAATCTTCTCAAGTATGACAGGTCACTCCTGTACCCCGGACCACACTTTCAGACCCCTTCAAATAAGGAATATTTCCTAGGTCCTTGCCTGTTCTTCTCAGCGGAATACACCTCAACCTTCTGAAAGTTCGTCCAAACCTTCTACTATCACCTAGTCTTTGCAAATCTTGTGCATTCTAGGGAGTAGAATTAATATTTCCTGAGCGAGGAAAACTGGGATCCTCACCTGTGACCTTTTTTCCTCCTCTGAAGCACCAGTGAGAGGTTAGACCAGACAGCTGTTCTTTCAAGTGCGCTTCTTATTCATAGGGAACCCTCTCTTTCAAACTTTGTAACACACAGTTAAGACTGAAGTACCCTTAAGGCTGAAGACCATCATCCATTATGCCATCTCCCTCGCGGAATCAGTGAGTTCTTCCCTGGAAACTAGGTCTCGTATAAACTTCTGTAAATGCAACCCAGGAGGACTAGGCAGGTCACACAGTGAAGGAGGGAACCAGAAACTTCACTTGCTAAAGAGACACCAGGAAACCCAACTAATACAAACGCCAAGTTTAAGACTAGAGGCGCACGCATTTCGCACTACTCCTCTGGGAATGGGGAACGTCTCCCGAGAACTGTGTGTTAGCACTGGGAGAGATGGGCAAACTGAGCGTCATGCGGGTTGGTAACCGGGTCCCTCAGCGGCAGGACAGGAGCGCGGCCTGCAGACTCCGGGCCCAGGGCCACCGGCCTCGCCTACCCGCTCCTGCGCCTCTAGAACCCGCTTCACTGCCGGGACCCCACGCCTGTCCTCCCAGCCCCCGCCAGGGTCCGCTGCCCGCACCTGCACTTCAGGCCCTGCCCGCCCGCGATGCGCCCACGCGTCTGCTCCCACAACTAGGGGACACTGGTCCGGCCCCCCGGGATCCCCCGAGGCCCACGGGTTCCTCTTCGCCCTCGCACCGACCCGCAGGGACATAGAACCAAGCCCCAAGCCGGCCCCGCTACAAGACCGCCTCTGGGTGACGCACTTCCGGATGAAAATGGCGGAGTGGGCCGGGCGGCGCATGCGCAGAGAGAAAAGCTGGTTCCCAAAGTCCTTGATGGTAACATCGTTGGAAAGTGACACTACATTTCTCATGAGGTTCTGTGGTGCCCGGTTAGGAACCCACGCCGGACATTCTGTTTAGTCCAGCAGTTGAGTCCAGTTACCCAGAGACCCGGACTTAATGGATCAGGACTGGTCCCTACCCAGGTGACACAGATATGGCATTCTGGTTCTTTATTAAATCCTGATTTCACAGCCTGGGACATTGTGAAAATAATGGAGAAATTTCAATAGAGGCCAATTGGTCTATGCTATTAATGAGTAACTTTTTTTTTTTTTTTTTTGAGACGGAGTCTCACTCTGTCGCCCAGGCTGGAGTGCAATGGTGCGATCTCGGCTCACTGCAACCACCGCTTCCCGGGTTCAAGCGATTCTCCTGCCTCAGCCTCCTGAGTAGTTGGGATTACAGGCGCGCCACCACGCTTGCCTAGTTTTTGTATTTTTAGTAGAGACGGGTTTTCACCATGTTCGTCAGGCTGGTCTCCAACTCCTGACCTCGTGATCCGCCCTCCTCGGCCTCCCAAAGTGCTGGAATTACAGGCGTGAGCCACTGCGCCCAGCCCTCAAGTCTATTTTTTATAGATGCATTCGAAAGTGTGAAAAAAATCATGTCTCTATTTTACTTTAAAATTTTAAAAACACACCTAATGAATATGGTAATTCTCTTCCAATCCGTTATCTTTTCTCTCACTTAACTAATTTGTGAGCCTTCAATTTACACATTTAGAAAATATTTTCTAGTGTTAACAGCGTCATAAGACAGGTGCACTCCATAATCTTTGTGACAACTTACACTTCCAGTGTCTGATAAATATTTGCCCGTAAACTCCCACGTTTCATCTATCCATCAATCAAATCTCCCTATCTTTATTTATTTATTGTGAGAAAGACCTGAAATTTGTCTTTCCTTCCCTGATTTCTGCCACAAACTAGGCAAGGCGTTCTGCCTAGGGTTTTCTCAGAACCCCGGCTACCACCGAGGTTCCTAACAGGGAAACGCAGGCTTGAATGCTCAGGGTTGATGTGAGAGTGAGTGTGAAACGGGGGTGGGGTGAAAGGGCAGTGAACTTTGTAGGTGGGTAGATGGGGGTGTGAAGGGCTTTCAGGTAAGAGGCACGCATGAAACTGGGAGAGACAGCGAAATCACTTCAGGCCTCAGATCACCAGAAGATGCTCCCACCAGTGCCATGACAGTTTGCCAATGCCATGGCAGCACGGGAAGTCCCCAACCCTTGCCATGGAAACAGCTGGAAGTTACTACCCATTTCTAGCTATTTCTGAATAACCCTCCCCTTAATTAGCATGCCATTAAAAGTGAAATATAAAAATGACTGCAAGCCACCCCTAGGCTGCTACTCTGGGAGCACAACCCACGGAGGGCTCCCTGCCCTGCAGGAGCAGAAGCAGGGCTGTAACACCGCCAGTGCCTCTGTAGAGCTGCTTTCTTCCACCACAGGCTTGCTTTTGGATTCCTTCCTGAGCGATGCCAAGAACCTGCCCTTCCTCAGTGTGACTCTTGCCTAAAACCTATCCCTGGTATTCTCTTTTCCTAAGCATGACCTGACTTGTTCTTTCATCTCCTCTGATCTTGCAATTGGTCCTCAGTGACTCTATTCCGCAGATCCAGAAAACTCAACCTTAATCTTCCCAGAGCCCTGTTTTCTCCAATATTGGAATCTCTAGCCTTGTTTTCTCAGAAGCCTAGATTACAGGCCTCTCTCTTGAACACCTATTGGTAAGGTATCTGGGGACCCTTTGAATACACGATGACTGGCAGGGGTTACATAGGGGAAATCAGTGCCTGACAATTCGCCTTCCAGGATATGGATTGTCATTCCCTCTCTTTGTGGTCCTCAGTCTCTTATACATAAAAGTAGAGATTGTAATACTCATTTGACTTGCAGATACCTCACCCTGAACCCACCTAATATTATGTAAAAGCCAAGAATGCAACCCCTTTCCTCACCCCATGAAGGTAAAGTCCTCAGAGCCAAGGAGAGAAGGCTCAGGGATGGTACCTGGGTGTTTCCAACACTAACCATGTTTTTAGTGTTCAAGTTTAAGCTTCTTATGTTAAAGTTACCCCAGCTTTAATTCTATTGTAACAAGATTTATTTTGTAATTCCATTTTTGGATTCTTGATTTCTTGGTAAAGAAATACAGTTATTTTTGTATACCAATCTTACATAGTGTTACATTCCTAAATTTGTTAATGAGTCCTAACACTTTTTAGTAAATTTCTTATGATTTTCTAAATGCAAGATCATGTCATCTGTACATAAAGATAACTGTACTTCTTCCTTTTCAATCTAGATGCCGTTTATTTATTTATATTGCCAAGTTGTCCCAGCTACCAGTTATCAAGTAAAAGGGTCTCACTGCCCAGAGCACTAGAAGCCGGTACCACGACACTGAGTTTTTGAGAAAAGAAAAACTTTAAAGTCAAACCAAACCCTATGGGATACAGGCCGGGCGAAGTGGCTCATACCTGTAATCCCAGCACTTTGGGAGGCCGAGTCGGGCGGATCACGAGGTCAGGAGATCGAGACCATCCTGGCTAACACGGTGAAACCCTGTCTCTACTAAAAATACAAAAAACAAAAATTAGCCGGGCATGGTGGCGGGCACCTGTAGTCCCAGCTACTCGGGAGGCTCAGGCGGGAGAATGGCATGAACCCAGAAGGCAGAGCTTGTAGTAAGCCAAGATTGAGCCACTGCACTCCAGCCTGGGCAACAGAGAGAGATTCTGTCTCAAAAAAAAAAAAAGACAAAAACAAAAAAACAAAAAACAAACCATGGGATACAGCAAAAACAGTACTAAGGAGTAAGTTTATAGCAAAAAGCATCTACATCAAAAAAAGTAGAAAAACTTCAAATAAACAACCTAATAATGCATCTTAAATAATTAGAAAAGCAAGAGCAAACCAAAACCAAAATTAGTAGAAGGAAACATAGCAAAGATCAGAGCAGAAATAAATGAAATTGAAATTTAAAAATATAAAATATCAATGAAATGAAAAGTTAATATTTTTTAAAAGATCAGCAAAATCAACAAACATTTAGCCAGACTAAGAGAAAAGAGAGAAGACTCAAATACATAAAACCAGAGATTAAAAAGGAGACACTACAACAGATACTGCAGAAATTCAAAGAATCATTAGAAACTACTATGACCAACTATATTCCAATAAATTGAAAAACCTGCAAGTAATGGCCAGGCACCGTGGCCCATGCCTGTAATCCCAACACTTTGAGAGGACAAGGCAGGTGATCATCTGAGGTCAGGAGTTCAAGACCAGCCTGGCCAACATGGTGAAACCCCATCTCTACTAAAAATACAAAAATTAGTCAGGCATGGTGGTGTGCACCTCTACTCCCAGCTACTCCTGAGGCTGAGGCAGGAGAATCACTTGAACCTGGGAGGCAGAAGTTGCAGTGAGCTGAGATTGTATCAAGCTCCATCCTGGGTGACAGAGCAAGACTCCATCTCAAAAAAAAAAACAAAACAAAACAAAAACAAAAACAAAAAAACCCACAATAAACCAAAAACAACCAAAAAACAAACCTAGAAGAAATGGATAAATGAGATTGAACCCATAATAAAACATCTCCTAGCAAAGAAAAGCCTGGATCCAATGGCTTCACTGATTAATTTTACCAAACATCGAAGGAAGACTTACTATCAATCCTACTCAAACTATTCCAAAAAACAAAGAAGGCTGTAGTATTTCCATACTCATTCTATGAAAAAGACCATTCATCATGTCTAAGTGGGATTTACCTCAAGAATGCCAACATGGTTCAACATATGCAAATCAATCAATGTGACACATCATATCAACAGAATGAAGGACAAAAACCATATGGTAATTTCAACTGATGCTGAAAAGCATTTAATAAAATCCAACATCCCTGTGATAAAAATAAACCCTAAAAAAAAGCTAGATTTAGAAGGAACATACCACAACACAATAAAAACCATATGCAACAGACCAACAGCCAGTATCATCCTGAACAGAGATAACCTGAAAGCCTTTCTTCTAAGATCTGGAACAAGGCAAGAATGTCCACTTCCAACACTGTTACTCAACATAGTACTGGAAGTCCTAGCTAAAGCAATCCAGAAAAGTGAAAAACAATAAAGGGCATCCAAATTGAAAGAAGTAAAATTATTATTGTTTTCTTGTTTGCAGTTGATTTGATCTTATATTTGGAAGAACCTAAGGACTCCACCAAAAAGCTATTAGAACTGATTAACAAATTCAGAGTCACACGATACAAAATCAAAATACAAAACTCAGTAGCATTTCTAAATGCCAAAAATGAACAATCTAAAGCAGAAAATAAAGTACATACTCCCATTTACAATAGCTACAAATAAAATAAAAAATCTAGGAATAAATGTAACAAAAGAAGTGAAAGATCTCTACGATGAAAACTATAGAACACCAATGAAAAAAAATTAAAGAAGACACCAAAAAAATGGAAAGATAGTCCATGTTCATTGAATGGAAGAGTAAATATTGTTAAAATACACATACTTCACAAAGCAATCTACAGATTCAATGCAATCCCTATTGAAATACTAATAACATTCTTCACAGAAACAGAAAAAAAAATACTAAAATTTATATGAAATCATAAAAGACCCAGAATACCCAAAGCCATCCTTAGCAAAAAGAACAAAACTGGAAGAATCACATCACCTGACGTTAAATTATACTACAGGGCAATTGTAAACAAAGCAGCATGATACTGGCATAAAACAGACACATAGACCAATGGAACAGAATAGAGAACCCAGAAATAAATCCTTACATTTACAAATAACTCACTTTCAATGAAGATTCCAAGAATATACATGGGGGAGAGGACAGTCTCTTCAACAAATTGTGCTGGGAAAACTAGATATTCATTGGCAGAATAATTTTTTTTTTTGAGATGGAGTCTAGCTCTGTTGCTCAGGCTGCAGTGCAGTGGCACGATCTGGGCTCACTGCAAGCTCCACCTCCCTGGTTCACACCATTCTCCTCCTCAGCCTCCCAAGTAGCTGGGAGTACAGGTGCCCCCACCACACCCAGCTAATTTTTTTTTTGTATTTTTAGTAGAGACGGAGTTTCACTGTGTTAGCCAGGATTGTCTCGATATCCTGCCCTCATGATCTGCCCACCTCAGCCTCCCAAAGTCATTGGCAGAATAATTAAACTAGAACCCTGTCTTGCGTTATATACAAAAATCAAATCCAAATGGGTTAAAGACTTAAATCAAGGACAAGAAACTAGTGAAAGAAAACATTAGGGAAACTCTCCAGAAAATTGGTCTGGGCAAAGATTTCTTGAGTAATACCCCAAAAGCCCAGGCAACCAAAGCAGAAATGAACAAATGGTATCACATGAAGTTCAAAAGTTTCTGCATAGTAAAGAAAACAATGGACAAAGTGAAAAGACAATCCACAGAATGGAAGAAAATATTTGCAAACTATATATCTGACAAGGGATTAATAACCAGAATATATAAGGAGTTCAAACAACTCTATAAGAAAAAAAACTAATAATCCAATTATTTAAATGGGCAAAAAACCTGAACAGACATTTCTCAAAAGAAGGCACACAGGTCAGGCGCGGTGGCTCTCACCTGTAATTCCAGCATTTTGGGGAGCCAAGACAGGTGGACCACTTGAGCCCAGGAGTTCAAGACCAACCTGAAAAACATAGCAAATAATTTTAAAAACAATCTGGGCATGGTGATGCATGCCTGTGGTCCTAGCTACTCAGGAGGCTGAGGTGGGAGGATTGCTTGAACCCTGGTAGTCAAAACTACAGTAAGCCATCATCATACCACTGCACTCCAGCCTGGGTGACAGAGTGAGACCCTGTCTCAAAAAATGAGAAAAAACAAAAAAGAAGATATATAAATGTCAAATAGGTATATGAAACGGTGCTCAATATCATTGATCATCAGAGCATTTCAAATCAAAACTACAATAAGATATCATCTTACCCCCATTAAAATGGCTTTTATGCAAAAGAGAGGCAATAACAAATGCTTGCAAGAATGTGGGGAAAAGAGAACCCTCTTACTCTGTTGGTGGGAATGTAAATTAGTACATTCACTATGGAGAACAATATGGAGGTCCCTCAAAAAATTAAAAATAGAACTATCATATGATACAGCAATCCTGCAATGCAGCAACCCAGCAATGCTGGGTATATACCCAAGGGAGGGAAAATTAGTATATCAAAGAGTTATCTGCATTCCCATATTTATTTCAGCACTATTCATAATAGCCAAGATTTGGAAGCAACCTAAGTGTGCATCAACAGATGAAGGGATAAAGAAAATGTAGTACATGTACACAATGGAGTACTCTTCGGCCATGAAAAAGAATAAGATTCTGTCATTTGCAACAACGTGGATGGAACTAGGGGACATTATGTTAAGTACAATGAGCCAGGCACAGAAAGACTTTGCATGTTCTCACACATTTGTGGGAGCTAAAAATTAAAACAATTGAACTCATCAAGATAGAGAGTAGACTGAGAGTTTCCAGAGGTTGGGAAGAGTAGCGGTGTTACGGGATCTTTGGAGTGTCACTTTTCTGGACAGAAAACTCTATGGCTGGTGGCACCTTTACCTGAGTTTTGCTTGGGCCCCGCCCACTCAGCCTGGCAGGCTGTGCTCAGCTCATGCTACCAGGTTGGATCCCATGTTTGCCAAGGGAGACTGCGCGGAGTGGCAAGGGGCGTGTGAGCAAGCATGGGGTCTGGCCACTGTGCAGTCAGACTTCCTGGCTGCTGCAGTGGGGCAGGTAACTCCAGGTGCCAACATGAGTACCAGCTCTCCACAAGTCTGTGGCTGGACCACGGGCACCGCAAGCAGCTTCCACAGCTGGCACACTGGGAACACAGTGGCACCCAGAAGCTTGGAGATACCAGGAACCACAGGGCCCCAAAGAGGGAATCACAGCCCTGGCTCGGGGAGCTCCCAGGTCTGGGCTTCCCAAAGGGTCACAGCTCTTCTTTCCTTCTCTTTGCCCACAATGTGGCTAGCAAGGGGCATGTCTCAGCCCTTTTGTGTTACAGCTCTTTCAGCCTCTTCCCTAGGATTTGTCATAATTAATTCTCATATTGTCTTATTTTTTTACATGTGTTTCAACTTCAGAAGATGCATGGATCTAAACACAACATGATGTGTTAGCTAGCTGCCATATGAATTTCTCCCTGTTTCACCACTATGTAGCCTAAAGTTATTCAATCATCCATGACTATCCTGGCTAAAGAGTCTAAAGATCTTTGTTTGGTAGCTATGGCTTCAGCTAGTTCATTTGCTAAGTTACCTAGAGTGGTTGGTTGACAGATTTCTAATTATACGTTCATGAGAGGTTACTCCCCACCATTGCAAGTGACTTCTGCCAAACATAGGCCAAAATTCATCTCCTTGGTGTGCAGGTATGGTTTGTCTAATCCTGGAAAGTAATTTCGATGAATTACTTCAGTGTTCAGAAACATTGGAGTTATAAATAGAAAGAGGAAGAGTCACATAACCTAATAGACAATTACTTCTCATATGCCAGCGGTCAACACATTCATAAGCCCATGGGTGGTTGATCCAGGGACCACACAGTGTCCCTGACAGATTCTGAAAGTTAAGGCTTTGGTTTACTGGTAACAGAGACAGGTTAAAGTACATGTCTTCAGTCTTGAGTAGAGTGTAATCAGTCTCATTTTTTTTTTAATGAGACAAACATCAGGTAAAGACCTTGACAAGAAGGAAGAGAAATCCCGAGATTCTATAATCATAATAATCGAATTGTAATTGCTAGTTTAAGTAGTCCTTCAAAAAATACATCTCATTCTTGACAGGATAAGAGAAGTTTTTAAAAATATATTATATTCAGATTCACTAGGGAACACTTGGAGCCAGGAAATAATTCAGGATTCAGCCCAAATTATAGGCAAATAATAAAAACTCTAAAACAATGATCAGGGTTGGAATCTAATAGCATATGTCATAGTTTTCTTTTGGAACACAAATTTTCTCTAGTCCATCATATTATCAAAGACAAATCATAGTAGGACCAATTTTGTATGCAAAATAAGTTTTAGTCTTATCATACCTGGCCTGATTATTTCCATAAAGTGCAGCAAGAATATTTATTGGCCATACAGGCTTCTTAAAATTGGCTTTGTTGGAAATTTGAAATAAGGAATCTTAGACTTTTAAGAGCCTTGACGCTAGCCAAGTCAAAGATTTGCATCAGACTGTGTCTGTAATACTTTTTTAACCTACTTTTTAAAATTATACTTTAAGTTCTGGGGTACATGTGCCGAAAGTGCAGGTTTGTTACATAGGTATATATATTCTGTGGTGGTTTGCTGCACTCATCAACCCATTACCTATATTAGACATTTCTCCTAATGCTATTCCTCCCCCTTCCCCCACCCCCCAACAGGCCCCAGTGGGTGATGTTCCCCTCCCTGTGTCCATGTGTTCTCATTGTTCAACTCCCACTTATGAGTGAGAACATGTGGTGTTTGGTTTTCTGTTCTTGTGTTAGTTTGCCGAGAATGATGGTTTCCAGCTTCTTCCATGTCCCTGCAAAGGACATGAACTCATCCTTTTTTATGGCTGCATAGTATTCCATGGTGTATATGTGCCACATTTTCTTTATTCAGTCTATCATTGATGGGCATTTGGGTTGGTTCCAAGTCTTTGTTATTGTGAACAGTCCTGCAATAAACATACATGTGCATGTGTCTTTATAGTAGAATGATTTATAATCCTTTGGGTATATACCCAGTAATGGGATTGCTGGGCCAAATGGTATTTCTAGTTCTAGATCCTTGAGGAATAGCCACACTGTCTTCCACAATGGTTGAACTAATTTACACTCCCACCAACAGTGTAAAAGCCTTCCTATTTCTCCACACCCTCTCCAGTACCTGTTGTTTCCTGACTCTTTAATGATCGCCACTCTAACTGGCATGAGATGGTATCTCATTGTGGTTTTGATTTGCATTTCTCTAATGACTAGTGAAGTTGAGCTTTTTTTTTTCATAAGTTTGTTGGTTGCATAATTGTCCTCTTTTGAGAAGTGTCTGTTCACATCCTTCGCCCACTTTTCAATGGGGTTGTTTTATCTTGTAAATTTGTTTAAGTTCTTTGTAGAGTCTGGATATTAGCCCTTTGTCAGATGGATAGATTGCAAAAATTTTCTCCCATTTTGTAGGTTGCCCATTCATTCTGATAGTTTCTTTTTCTGTCCAGAAGCTCTTTAGTTTAATTAGGTCCCATTTGTCAATTTTGGCTTTTGTTGCCTTTGTTTTTGGTGTTTTAGTCAGGAAGTCTTTGCCCATGCTTATGTCCTGAATGGTATTGCGTAGGTTTTCCTCTACGGTTTTTATGGCTTTAGGTCTTATGTTTAAGTCTTTAACCCATCTTGAGTTAATTTTTGTATAAGGTGTAAGGAAAGGATCCAGTTTCAGCTTTCTGCCTATGGCTAGCCAGTTTTCCCAACACCATTTATTAAATAGGGAATCCTTTCCCCAGTGATTGTTTTTCTGAGGTTTGTCAAAGATCAGATGGTTGTAGATGTGTGGTGTTAATTCTGAGGCCTCTGTTCTGTTCCTTTGATCTATATATTTGTTTTGGTAACAGCACCATGCTGTTTTGGTTACTGTAGCTTGTAGTATAATTTGAAGTCAGGTACCATGATGCTTCCAGCTTTGTTCTTTTTGGTTAGGATTGTCTTGGCTATTTGGGCTCTTTTTTGATTCCATATGAAATTTAAAGTATATTTTTCCAATTCCGTGGAGAAAGTCAATGGTAGTTTAATGGGGATAGCAGTGAATCTATAAATTACTTTGGGCAGTATGTCCACTTTCATGATACTGATTCTTCCTATCTATGAGCATGGAATGATTTTCCATTTGTTTGTGTCCTCTCTTATTTCCTTGAGGAGTGGTTTGTAGTTCTCCTTGAAGAGGTCCTTCACATCCTTGTCAGTTGCATTCCTAGGTATTTCATTCTTTTTATAGCAATGGTGAATGGGAGTTCACTCACAGTTTGGCTCTCTGTTTGTCTGTTATTGCTGTATAGGAATGCTTGTGATTTTTGCACATTGATTTTGTATCCTGAAACTTTGCTGAAGTTGCTTATCAGCTTAAGGAGATTTTGGGCGGAGATGATGGGGTTTTCTAAATATACAATCATGTCATCTGCAAACAGAGACCGTTTGACTTCCTCTTTTCCTAATTGAATACCCTTTATTTCTTTCTCTTGCCTGATTGCCCTGGCCAGAACTTCCAATACTATGTTGAATAGGAGTAGTGAGAGAGGGCATCCTTGTCTTGTGCTGATTTTCAAAGGGAATGCTTCCAGTTTTTGCACATTCAGTATGTTGTTGGCTGTGGGCTTGTCATAAATAGCACTTACTATTTTGAGATATGTTCCATCAATACCAGTTTATTGAGAGTTTTTAGCATGAAGGGCTGTTGAATTTTGTCAAAGGCCCTTTCTGCATCTATTGAGATAATCATGCAGTTTTTGTCATTTGTTCCCTTTATGTGATGGATTACATTTATTGATTTGCATATGTTGAACCATCCTTGCATCCCAGGGGTGAAGCTGACTTGATCATGGTGGACAAGCTTTTTGATGTGCTGCTGGATTCAGTTTTCCAGTATTTTATCCAGGATTTCTGCATCGATGCTCATCAGGGATATTGGCCTAAAATTTTCTTTTTTTGTTGTGTCCCTGTGAGGTTTTGGTATCAAGGTGATGCTGACCTCATAAAATGAGTTAGGGAGGATTCTCTCTTTTTCTGTTGTTTGGAATAGTTTCAGAAGGAATGGTACCAGCTCCTCTTTGTACCTCTCATAGAATTCGGCTGTGAATCCATCTGGTCCTGGAATTTTTTTGGTTGGTAGGCTATAATTAATGCCTCATTTTCAGAACTTGTTATTGGTCTATTCAGGAATTTCACTTCTTCCTGGTTTAGTCTTTGTAGTATTCTCTGATGATAATTTGTATTTCTGTGGGATCAGTGGTGATATCCCCTTAATCATGTTTTATTGCATCTATTTGATTCTTCTCTCTTTTCTTCTTTATTAGTCTGGCTAGTGGTCTGTTTTGTTGATCTTTTCAAAAAACCAGCTCCTGGATTCATTGATTTTTTGAAGGGTTTTTCGTGTCTCTATCTCCTTCAATTCTGCTCTGATCTTATTTGTGTCTTGTCTCCTGTTAGCTTTTGAATTTGTTCTTGCTTCTCTAGTTCTTTTAATTTTGATGTTAAGGTGTCAATTTTAGATCTTTCCTGCTTTCTCTTGTGGACATTTAGTGCTATAAATTTTCCCTCTACACACTGCTTTAAATGTGTCCCAGAGATTCTGGGACGTTGTGTCTTTGTTTTCATTGGATTGAAGAACATCTTTATTTCTGCCTTCATTTAGTTATTTACCCAGTAGTCATTCAGGAGCAGGTCACCCAGTTTCCATGTAGTTGTGAGGTTTTGAGTGAGTTTCTAAATCCTGCATACTAATTTGAATGCATTGTGGTCTGAGAGACTCTTTGTTATGATTTCAATTCTTTTGCATTTCCTGAGGAGAGTTTTACTTCCAATTATGTGGTCAATTTTAGAATAAGTGCAACGTGGTGCTGAGAAGAAGGTATATTCTGTTGATTTGCGGTGGAGAGTTCTGTAGAGATCTTTTAGGTCCACTTGGTCCAGAACTGAGTTCAAGTCCTGGATATTATTGTTAATTTTCTGTCTCATTGATCTAATATTGACAGTGGAGTGTTAAAGTCTCCCACTATTATTGTGTGGGAGTTTAAGTCTCTTTGTAGGTCTTTAAGAACTTGCTTTATGAATGTGAGTGCTCCTGTATTGGGTGCATATATGTCTAGGATAGTTAGCTCTTCTTGTTGCATTGATCCCTTTACCATTATGTAACGCCTTCTTTGTCTCTTTTGATCTTTGTTGGCTTAAGATCTGTTTTATCAGAAGCTAGGATTGCAACCCCTGCCTTTTGTTGCTTTCCACTTGCTTGGTAAATGTTCCTCCATCCCTTTATTTTGAGCCTATGTGTATGAGATGGGTCTCCTGAGTACAGCACATTGATGGGTCTTGACTCTTTATCCAATTTGCCAGTCTGTGTCTTTCAATTGGGGGCATTTAGCTCATTTACATTTAAGGTTAATATTGTTATGTATGAATTTGATCCTGTCATTAAGATACTAGCTGGTTATTTTGCTCATTAGTTGATGCAATTTTTTCATAGTGTCAATGGTCTTTATAATTTGGTATGTTTTTGCAGTGGCTGTTACCAGTTGTTCCTTTCCGTGTTTAGTGCTTCCTTCAGAAGCTCTTGTAAGGCAGGCCTGGTGGTGACAATATCTCTCAGCATTTGCTTGTAAAGGATTTTATTTCTCCTTCAATTATGAAGCTTAGTTTGGCTGGATATGAAATTCTGGCTTGAAAATTCTTTTCTTTAGGAATGTTGTATATTGGCCCCCACTGTCTTCTGGCTTGTAGGCTTTCTGCCAAGAGATCCACTGTTAGTCTGATGGGCTTCCCTTTGTGGGTAACTCAACCTTTCTCTCTGGCTGCCCTTAATATTTTTTCCTTCATTTCAACCTTGGTGAATCTGATGATTTTGTGTCTTGGGGTTGCTCTTCTTCAGGAGTATCTTAGTGGTGTTCTCTGTATTTCCTGAATTTGAATGTTGGCCTGTCTTGCTAGGTTGGGGAAGTTCTCCTGGATAATATAGTTGAGAGTGTTTTCCAACTTGGTTCCATTCTCTCTGTCACTTTCAAGTACACGAATCAAACATAGATTCAGTCTTTTAACATAGTCCTCTATTTCTTGGAGGCTTTGTTCATTTCTTTCACTCTTTTTTCTCTAATCTTGTCTTCTTGCTTTATTTCATTGAGTTGATCTTCAATCTCTGATATCCTTTCTCCTGCTTGATTGATTCAGCTATTGATACTTGTGTATGCTTCATTAAGTTCTTGTGCTCGGTTTTTCAGCTCCATCAGGTCATTTATATTCTTCTCTAAACCGGTTATTCTAGTTTACAATTCGTCCTACCTTTTTTTTTCAGGCTCTTAGCTTCCTTGCATTGGGTTAGAACATGCTCCTTTAGCTCGGAGGAGTTTGTTATTACCCGCCTTCTGAAGCCTACTTCTGTCAATTCATCAAACTCATTGTCTGTCCAGTTTTGTTCCCTTGCTGGTGGGGAGTTGTGATCTTCTGGAGGAGAAGAGGCATTCTGGCTTTTGGAGTTTTCAGCCTTTTTGCACTGGTTTCTCCCCATCTTTGTGGATTTATTTACCTTTGTTCTTTGATGTTGGTGATGTTGAGACTATTCCTTTCTGTTTGTTAGTTTTCCTTCTAACAGTCAGGTCCCTCTGCTGCAGGTTTGCTCGAGATGCTGGAGGTCCACTCCAGACCCTGTTTGCATGGGTATCACCAGTGGAGGCTGTTGGAAATGCATGAACCACCTGCCTTCTGTGTTGATCTCATTGGGTGCTGCAGGCCGGAGCTGTTCCTATTCAGACATCTTGCCAGCCCTCCTGTAATACTTTTATGAATTGGTGTAGTCCTCTCTTCTCAAGCTCCCCAAATAACTTAAGGTTCCTGGGCCCGTCAGAAATTGACATTCTTTACTTCTTACCACAAGGACAGCAACTTTCTAAAGGACCCTTGTAGACAGGACACCAAGCCAGTCATTCTAAGGGGCTTTGTATTGGTGCTATAGAGTCAACCTCAATTCCTTAAAGTGGTCTGGTTGTATCTGCCGTTCGAGTTAAAGCCTTGATAAAACAAAGTGTCTCCAATTGAATCCTGTTACCAAAAACAGATTCTTATTGAAATTATGCAAATAATTATATTGCCATAATTTAGGAATGCTCACGAATGGCTTCTGAATTCTGGAGAAATCAGTTAGAGAGACAGATAAATGGCTCAAATTTTTGTTCACAATGTAGTTTATCTAATGTATGGTAAGTTAAAAATAGCTGAAAAGAAAAAAATTCTTGACTTTGGAAAACAAAACGTAAAGAGAATCAACAATGTTTCCTATGGAAGGGCCATGAATAAAATCTTTTCCTTCTTTTATAAGTTCAGTCCCATGTAACTAAATCTTGTTCTGCTTGATTTCAAATAGCAATTCTCATTCAGTTTTTTGTGTTTTGCTTGATTTCAATTGGAAATTCTCATTCAGCTTTTTAGAGTCCTGGAAGATTTTCCTAGTCCAACAGAATGATCCCCAAAGTTATCTGAGACCATATTTAAGAGAACTTGTCAGAGTCCTTTCCATTAAAAGTAATTTAGATGATAGCTGATTGTAAAGGCTTTTTTTTTTTTTTGAGACATTGTCTGGCTCTATCACTCAGGATAGAGTGCAGTGGCATGATCTTGGCTCACCGCAATCTCTCCCTGCTAAACTCAAGCCATCCTCCTACCTCAGCCTCCAAAGTAGCTGGGACCATAGGCATGCACCATCATGCTGGCTAATTTTTGTATTTTTGTAGAGACAGGGTTTTACCATGTTGCCCAGGATGCTTTCAACTTCTGAGTTCAAGCAATTCACCCACCTCGGCCTTGCAAAGTGCTGGGATTTTTACACGCATGAGCCACCATGCCCTGCACCATGCCCAGCACCGTGCCCTGCACAGCCTCCAGCAGCATGCCTGGCCTGTAAAGGGTTTTAGAGAAGAACTTTAAACAATCACCGTGGATGAAAAAAACTTAGAATATCCTTTGGTTAAAATCCAGTGGAAGTTCTCAACTGGAGAGAAAATTTAGTTATTTCTATTATATGTCGCATTTTAAGATAAAAGCCAGAATCATGACTGACGGCAACACATCAGATCCATCAGACTTCCACAAATTTTGTATAATCTTTAGAATATTTATATTAATAATATATCTATACATATACAACTTTACAGAATATTTAACATCATCAAAATTATGACTGATACCATATTAGATTTTTATAATTTATATAACATTTAAAATATTTATATTAATAATATACCTATAAATGTAACCAAAAGAAGATTTAGACCAGGCACAGTGGCTCATGCCTGTAATTCCAACACTTTGGGAGGCCAAGTTGGACAGATCATCAGAGGTCAGGACTTCAACACCAGCCTCGCCAACATGGAGAAATCTTGTCTCTACTAAAAATACAAAATTAGCCGGGCATGGTGGCATGTGTCTGTAGTCCCAGCTACTTGGGAGGTTGAGGCAGGAGAATCGCTTGAACCTTGGGGCAGAGGTTGCAGTGAACCTAGATCACGCCACTGCACTCCAGCCTGGGTGACAAAGCAAGATTCTGTCTCAGAGAAAAAAAAAAGAAGATTTAGACTCATCTTTTGGCAATGCTTCCCATACAAAGTTATCAACTAAATTTTAGCAAAGATGTAAAAAAATTGAAAACATTTGACCAAAACAGAATGACAGTTTATTGTTTTTTATTTTATTATATATTTGAGACAGGGTCTCACCCTATTGCCCAGGCTGGAGTGCAGTGGTGAAATCATGGCTCAATGCAGCCTCAACCTCCCAGGCTCAGGTGATCATCCACCTTAGTCTCCCAAGTAGCCAGGACTATGAGCACTTGCTACCACACCTAGCTAGCTTTTGTATTTTTAGTAGAGATGGGGTTTTGCCATTTTGCCCAGGCTGGACTTGAACTCCTGGGCTCAAGTGATCCACCCACCTTGGCCTCCCAAAGGGCTGGAATTACAGACATGAGCCGCTGCACACAGCCACATGTCATTTTTAAATAACAGTCATTCATTTAATTAGCAAGACAACCAAAAGATATCAAAAGCAACATAGAAGGTTACATGGATGTGAAAACTGAAAACCCTCAGTTTTCCCAAGTAATTAAAAAAAAATAAAGGCAACACATGGATTACCTTGATAAAACCTAAAATCTTTATTACAGGCCAGTCATTTAAAGGGTAAAACTCCTGTGGCATAACTGTGTCTTCTTACGGGAAGCTAATTTAAATCACTTGGAAGTCAATTCCGATGATAAGGAGACTTGAATTTAATTAGACATAGAAAGAGTGTGTCCAGGGTCATGAGTGAGCATAATATTACAAAGGAATGTAAACAGGAAAACCAGAGCATAGAGCAGTGGGGATCCATAGCTCACAATGATAGCATGGAAGTTTCCTGGTTACATGAAGTAATTAAGACATATTTAAAAGCCAAGAGTACAAAATTAGACCTGATGAAAAATCTGAAGGAGTTATCATCGCAGCCAAGCAGGAAACCCAAACCTTTTATTCCTTCTCAAGAAGGAACAGGAGACAATGATGTGATCTGTGAGTCATGTGTAACATGAAAGTACAGGAAAAGTTGAACTTCTGATATACAAATCTGAAAAGTTTTTATAGTAACAGATTTCAGGATTAA
Organism: Homo sapiens; assembly: GCF_000001405.40. Lineage (NCBI taxonomy): Eukaryota > Metazoa > Chordata > Mammalia > Primates > Hominidae > Homo > Homo sapiens. Next base: position 66,846 of record NT_113793.3, on the reverse strand, counting down.
AAGTCAATATTTATTACCTCTTATTATGAGCAAATAAATACCTTAAGAAAACCTTGTTGTTTTAACCAAAATTTTTAGTTTTTTATCATTATGTTTTTAATATTACAGCTAATTTAAATAAACTTTATAAACAATCTATCTGATCTCAATCAGTTTTGACCTCGATGTAAGATTTACATAAACTTTTAATAACCTTGTATAATTTTTTCATCTTTCCCAACTTTTTATACACATTTAGTTTTATCTATCTTTTTTATTCCTTCAATTTAAAAAAATCCTTAAAAATCTCTAAGCGAATTTACTTTTTCTGAAACAAAAACCGGTATACATTTTGCATACAGAATTGTTTCTCTTGTATCTAGTAGTCTTAATCACATATATCTACCAAGATATTAACACTTAGTAATCCTTATTTTAAGAAAAAACCTAGGAAGCAAGAAATCTTGAATTGTCATATAGCAGTATCTTACATATGAGAATAATTTCATAATTTAGAATTATGTGTTCCTAAAACATATTTTTTAAGATGGATTTTCGCTCTTGTTGCCCAGGCTGGAGTGCAATGGTGTTATCTAAGCTCACTGCAACCTCCGTCCCCCAGGTTCAAGCAATTCTCCTGCCTCAGCCTCCCAAGTAGCTGGGATTACAGGAACCCACCACCACACCTGGCTAATTTTTTGTATTTTTTAGTAGAGATGGGGTTTCACTATGTTGATCAGGCTGGTCTTGAGCTCCTGACCTCGGGTGAGCCACCAACCTTGGCCTCCCAAAGTGCAGGGATTACAGGCGTGAGCCACAGTGCCTGGGCTAAAACATAAGTTTTAAATTGGAAATAACCCAGATATTTAATGAGTATCTATTATTTAATTTAACATAACTAAAATTTCAAAAATAGGCTGGGCATGGTGGCTCACACCTGTAATCCCAACACTTTAGGAGGCCAAGGCAGGAGTATCATGAGACCAGCCTGAGCAAAATAGTGAGATGCTGACTCTACAAAAAAAAATAAAAGTTAGCTGATCATGGTGGTGCATGCCTGTAATTAACAGCTTCTTGGGAGGCTGAGGTGGGAGGATCCCTTGAGCACAGGAGGTCAAGGTTGCAGTGAGCTGTGATCATGCCACTGCACTTCAGCCTGGGTGACAGAGACACTGTCTCAAAAAAATTTCAAAAATACATTAAGATGTCTTGTATAGACATTTATCCATTTACATTTACTTATTTTTGACAGTTTATCTAGAGTATTTGTGAGAACTGAGGTATTAGACAAAGCTAGTCATCATTTCTAGGTTTTTTTCTTGTTAACCATGTTATAGCCTGTGAATATCAGGTGTTCACGTAAGTGAGGACTTCAAAGTTAAATACATGGGTATTTTACCAATAACTCAGAAAATTCCATTATTTTTGTTCAACAAACCGTATTAAATTGGTCTTATGTATTTAAAAAATCACATAAACAAATATTCTTTTTTTCCTGTGTTTATAGTTTTATAACCTTCATGCCAAACCCTAGCACCTTAAAATATCTAGCAAATGTAAATATAAAACACAGTCAAAAATGTATGCCGACAATTCTGAAGACATTTCTATTTTTATTTTATCAATACTTTTTAAATTATTTGTATTTATAAAAGAACTATCTTTTATCTGGGCACAATGGTTCATGCCTGTATCCCAGCACTTTGAGAGGCTGAGGCAAGAGGATCACTTGAGCTCAGGAGTTTGAGACCAGCCTGGGCAACATAGTGAGACCTAATCTCTACTAAGAATCAGATAAAAAATTGCCAGGCATGGTAGTGCATGCCTATTGTACCAGCTACTAGAGAGGATAAGGCAGGAGGATTGCTTGAGCCTGGGAGTTTGAGATAACAGTGAGCTATGATCCCACTACTGCACTCCAGTCTGGGGAACAGAGTGAGACCTTAGAGTGAGACCTTATCTCAAAAAGAGAAAAAAAAAATAAAGAATTGTTTCATTCTTTTGTTTTTCTTCAGCCAAGTAACCTTGAATTGGTAACACCACAGACAGTAAGTCTTATCTCAACACCAGTAGACAAATCAGCAGATTCAAAGTAGGCAGGGAAAAAAAATAGATAGGCAAAAGAACTGAGAATTTTTCATTTTAGGGTTTTTAAAAATAGTAACTATTTGAGTTCTGAATTTTCTTTCATGTAATTTGGCCATCAGGTTTAAAGTGTGCGTGTAATCCCAACACTATGGGAGGCTGAGGCAGGTGGGTCACTTGAGGCCAGGAGTTTGAGACCAGCCTGGCCAACGTGACAAAACCCTATCTCTACTGAAAATACAAAAATTAACTGGGTGTGGTGGTGTGCACCTGTAGTCCCAGCTATTCAGGAGGCTGAGGCAGGATAATCACTCAAACCTGGGAGGCAGAGGTTGCAGTGAGCCGCGATTGTACCACCATACTCCATCCTGGGCAACAGAGCAAGACACTACGTCAAAAAGAAAAAGAAAAAAATGTATATATATATATGTATAGGCTGGGCACAGTGGCTCATGCCTGTAATCCCAGCAGTTTGGGAGGCCAAGGCAGGTGGATCACTTGAGATCAGGAGTTTGAGACCAGCCTGGCCAACATGGTGAAACCTCATCTCTACTAAAACCACAAAAATTAGCCGGGCATGGTGGCGCACACCTGTAATCGCAGCTACTCAGGAGGCTGAGACAGGAGAATTGCTCGAACCTGGGAAGTGGAGGTTGCAGTGAGCCAAGATCACACCACTGCACTCCAGCGTGGGCAACAGAGCAAGACTCTGTCTCAAAAAAGTGTGTGTCTGTTTGTGTGTGTGTGTGTGTGTGTATGTGTGTGGCTAGAATGGTCCATAATATATAGCCAGCTCGAGTCCCAGAAAACCTAGCAAGCTTAAGGTTAGAGCTTCTCATTTTGGCCTTTTCAAGATTAAATCTCCTTTAGTAAGCCCTTCCCCTCTAGGGAGGTACTTGCCGGAGCTCTGCCTGAAGTTGGTTTTCTGATGCCCTGTTTTTTTCTGTTCTGAATGGTTTATTTCTCATTATAAGAGCTCAGCAAAGCAGGCAGAGTTAAAAAGCAGAGACACGAAGGCTTTAAAATCATGGACTTCACTCCTACACTGAATCTCAGGTCCCCAGAAAGACAGAAACACCATGGGACCACAGCAAAGGCAGAAGGAGGAGTGAGAGAGGGAGGTGGACAGAACAACAAACAGGAGTTGGCTCTCATTTTTTCACGCGTGCCATTTTCTTTAGGTTTTTCTAGTTTATGGAGTCTCTTTGTTCCAGTTGAGCACACAGATAAACTAGAGATCTCACAAGGCTTTTGCTGAGAACATCAAAGCCTTTAACCTCTGTTGGGCCAAATATTTAGACCAAAAATACAGACAGACACACAAAAGCCAGAACCAGACCAGATTGAGTAGCTCAGTGGCTACAGCCTTTATTCCCTTTATTCTTTAGGATACGAACTCAAACCAGATTCAGGGTTCTAACCCAACCAGGACCCCCCTGGGGTGAAACTGAAACCCCACAGTCTAGACAAGGCTGGGGGTCTTTTTTTATTTTTTATTTTTGTTGAGATGGAGTTTCACTCTTGTTGCCCAGGCTGGAGTGCAATGGTGCAATATTGCTTCACTGCAACCTCCACCTCTCAGGTTTAAGCACTTATCCTGTCTCAGCCTCCCAAACTGGGATTACAAGCTTGTGCCACCACGCCCAGCTCATTTTGCATTTTTAGTAGAGACGGGGTTTCTCCATGTTGGTCAGGCTGGTCTCGAACTCCCAACCTCGGGTGATCCGCACACCTAAGCCTCCCAAAGTGTTGGCACTACAGGCATGAGCCACCACGCCCGGCCTGCTTGTTCTTTTCATTTCATCCTGATCTCCGAATACAGGAGAGTAGCTGATTTGGTGTTCGCTAACAAGCACAGAAGCTTTGTTACATTTACAGTGTCATTCTTGGCAAAACCTGAAGTTTTGACTCCCGGGTTCATGCCATTCTCCTGCCTCAGCCTCCTGAGTAGCTGGGACTATAGGCGCCCGCCACCTCACCCAGCTAATTTTTTGTATTTTTAGTAGAGACGGGGTTTCACCGTGTTAGCCAGGATGGTCTCGATCTCCTGACCTTGTGATCTGCCCACCTCGGCCTCCCAGAGTGCTGGGATTACAGGCGTGAGCCACCGCGCCCAGCCAGAAGCTCTAATTTCAGTGATGATTGTGCTTTTTATCTCTTCCTCAGCATCTGGCTCATGATAAAATTTCAGGTGTCTTGATGGTATCTAAATCAGTTGTTGATTCGGTCCTGGAGAAACACAAGCATAACCTCTATGCCAAGTTATAATTTTACCTATTTCCCAACTTTTTGTTATTGGATCTCTCCACCAAACCAGTTGTTCTGCTTCTGTCTTTGCAGCTGGTTTCTGTAGATGCTGTTCAGCTGCTGGCAACATCTGGCCTTTGGGCAGGCTCAAAAATTTGAAAGTTAATAATGCAAGATTCAATTGTGTATGGGCTATCCCGTAATCCCTGTTTCTCCCCCTTTTTTGTTTTTATTATCAGTTGTTCATCTGTATGAAATCTTAACTGAGCATTTTCAATTAACTGTGTGGAATGACCCATGTATGAAGAATCAGAAATCACATTAACAGGCATATCAAAAGCAGTCAATACCTCAATTACAGCTACAAGCTCTGCCTTTTGAGCTAAAGTATAGGGTGTCTGGAAAACTTTACCTTTTGATCCAGAATAAGAAGCTTTACCATTACTAGACCCATCTGTGAAACAATGAAAACGCTTAGCAGGCTGCAGGTTGTTTACTGCAGGAATTGTAAATGCAAACCGTTCACAGTCTAGCTCAGCTAAAAGGGTAGTAAAGAAACAGTCTTTTAAATCTGTGACTATTAAAGGCCAATTTTTTGGAATTATAGTAGGAGAAGGCAATCCTGGCTGTTATGTTTCCATAGGTTGTATAACTGAATTGATGGCTCTTAAGTCAGTTAACATTCTCCATTTACCTGATTTTTTCTTAATTATGAAAACTGGAGAATTCCAAGGGGAAAATGTTGGAGCTATGTGCCCATTTTCTAATTGTTCAGTAACTAATTTCTCTAAAGCATCCAGTTTCTCTTTGCTTAGCAGCCATTATTCTATCCAAATTGGCTTATCTGTTAACCATTTTAAAGGTATAGGTTCTGGAGACTTAACTATGGCCACCATCAAAAATGGTATCCTAATCTTTGGCAGGAACTTTGTCTTTCCGTTTGAAGCAGTTCTTTCAAACCTTGCAATTTTTTTTCTACTCCTATACCAGGGACATGCCCCATTTCGTGCATCATATGTTGACTTTGAGGGCTGTGTAATTGTTATGGAATTAGAACTTGTGCTCCCCATTGTCATAATAAATCTCTCCCCCGTTAATTTATAGGTACAGAAGTTGCAATTGGTTGAACAGTCCCAGGTTGTCCATCGGGCCCTTCACAATGCAAAGTATAGCTACTTTGATACACTTCTGGAGCTTTAGCAGTTTCCACTGTGTTAAATTGAGTAGGCTGAATTGGCCACATGGACGGCCAGTGCTATAGAGAAAAAATTGAAATGTCCACTCCTACCAAAAAAAAATAGTATCTACCAAACCTTTAAAGTTCTTTCCCTGGATAGTTATTTCACAGATAGGATGTTTATCAGTAATTTGATTTACCCAATAAGCTGCCTTGCCTTTTTTATTTGTGCTTCCAAATCCTCCAGTTCATTTAATTTCACTTTTTCCCATTCCCACATACGGCTCACTCAGGAGCTGTGCTATGCGCACTCCTGGCTGTGCTTTCCAGGGAACAGAACTAAATATCACAATTTGAATTTCCTCATTGTAATCTGAATCAATGACTCCAGTGTATATTTGTACCCCTTTTAAACTTAAACTAGACCTTCCTAAAAGTAATCCCATTGTCCCTGCTGGCAACGGTCCACAGACTCCTGTTGGGACCTTTTGCGGGGGTTCCCCAGGCAGAAGGCTCACAGCTATTGTGCAGCAAAAATCTACTGCAGCACTATGGGCTGTGGTGGGGGACAGATAACGTATGGGGGTGAGAGAATGGCCTGAGCTGGAAATGCCCTGGTTTAGAACAGGGCCTGGGATGGGCCCCTCAGGGAGTTTCCCAAAATCGGGTTCAAATCTTTATCAAACTTAGAGTGACACTGATTAGCCCAAAATTTCCTTTTTTACATTTTGGACATATTTCAGGATCAGCAGTTTTCTTTTTCCCCTATCTGGTGGCCTGACTCCGTGATTTTTTTTTACATTATTTTTAGTATGACCACGCTTCCCACAGTTAAAACAAGCTCCAGGAAATAGAGTATTTCCTTTATCCACTCTCAGTCCTGCCATCGCCTGTGCCAACAAAGTAGCTTTATGTAGATTATCTCTGATATCATCACAGTCCTTGTTATAATCAACTAAATGTGCTTTCCCTCTGATAGGTCGCAGAGCAGCCTGGCAATAAGGATTAGCATTGTCAAAACCAATAACTGCAACACTATATCCTAAGCAGCCAAATCTGCAATCATCTTTTTAAGAGACTCCTGTAACCAAGCTATAAAATCCACATATGGTTCTCTTGGTCCCTGTTTTATAGCACTAAAGGAAGGGTATTGTTCTCCACATGAAGTGATTTTTTCCAAGCTCTAATGCACACTCCTCTAAGCTGTTCTATGGCATCATCCTGCATGACCACTAGTGCATGTAAACCAGCCCAGCCACCAACCCCCAAAAGTTGGTCTGCAGTTATATTAATTTGAGGTTGGGCCCAGGAATTGCGAGCAGCCTGAATGGAAGCTTCATCTGCCTACTAAGTTTTAAACTGTAAGAACTGAGCAGGAGTTAGACAAGCTCGAGTAAGAGTGTCCCAGTCAGTAGGAATCATCCGACTGGAAACAGCAACATTCTTTAACAGTCCCATTTCAAAAGGAGAACCTGGTCCATACTGATTTATAGCTTGTTTAAATTTTTTGAGTAATTTAAAAGGAAAAGGCTCAAATGTAGCTATAATATTTCCCTGTTGATCTGGGGAGTGTATTCAAACAGGGAACTGCCAAGCCTCTAAATCCCACTTTTGTCTAGCTTGCTGTATTCCTGCCTGAATAGAACTAAGAGCAGTCGCTCAAGGCGCTGCTCGAACAGTCACCAGGGCAACTACTTTTCACCCAGTGTCCTCCAGAAAAGAAAGATCTGGAGGGTCGTTTTCTTCAAAATAATAATGACGGTGTGCAGAAGGGTAGGGATGAACCTCTCCCTCCTTTTATGCTTTAGCTTTAGGTGACAAATAAACCTGGTCTGTAACCTCTACTGTTACTTTGTTATACTCTCCTTTCTCCTCATCATCAGTGTGAAAAAGTTCCAAGGTAGAACGAACCACAGCCCACACTTGTCCTATTGCTACCCTGATGCTTCAGAGCTCCCCTTCTAACTCACCACGGGGATTGCTTTAAGAGTACTCGGGTGTCCTCCAGCTAGTTCCACATTCTCCAGTCGTTGCTCCAGTGATCCTTTGACCTGTATTCGAGTCCCCATGTATGGGCACCACTTGCTGAGACCAGGTCTGTTGGAGAGACCCTAACCCAGCAGCACTAGAGGAATTAAAGACACACACACAGAAATATAGAGGTGTGAAGTGGGAAATCGGGGTGGAGGGTCTTACAGCCTTCAGAGCAGAGCCCTGAACAGAGATTTACCCACGTATTTATTAACAGCAAGCCAGTCATTAGCATTGTTTCTATAGATATTAGATTAACTAAAAGTATCCCTTAATCTTAAGGCACAGATCACTCATACTATTGTTTGTGGCTTAAGAATGCCTTTAAGTGGTTTTCCACCCTGGACGGGCCAGGTATTCCTTGTCCTCATTCCAGTAAACCCACAACCTTCCAGCGTGGGTGTTATGGCCATCATGAACATGTCACATTGCTGCAGAGATTTTGTTTATGGCCAGTTTTGGGGCCAGTTTATGGCCGGATTTGGGGAGGCTTGTTCCCAACAGTTCTTCTGGGTAAGGGTGCCCTAACTCCTGTGGGGACCTTCTTTGGTGGCTCCCCAGGAAGTAAGGAGATGGGAATTGTGCTGTAGAGGTCTACAGCAGCACTGCTTGCTGAGGCGGGGGACAATTGCTATACATTTGTAAGGGCAGTGGCTGTGCTGGGTATGCCTCAGTTTGTTGAGGGGCTTGAGGCGGGTCCCCCTTCCTATTTCCTGAAAGAGGTTGTCCATCTTTGCTAAATTTAGAATGACACGGACTAGCCTAGTGATTGTCTTTCTTACACCAGGGACGTACATTGGGACTTTTCTGTTGATTGATGGTAGTAGTTTTCGTCTTTTGAATTCCTTTCTACATTCCTTTCTTGTGTGCAATTTGCCCACAATTAAGGAAAGAGCCTGAGAAATGAAGCATATTTTTTCCTTACTCTTAATCTAGCCACAGCCTGAGCTAAAAGAATAACCTTATGTAAGTTATCTCCAATGCCATCGCAAGCCTTAATATATTTAGTTAAATGGGCCCTCTCTGGGATCTAATAGCAGTTTGACACTGTGTATTAGCATTATTGTATGCAAGAAGCTGTATTACAACATCCTGAGCTGTTTTGATCATTTACGGCTTTATACACAGCCTCTTGGAGCTGAGCAATAAAATTAACATATGGTTCTTTAGGTCCTTGTCAGACAGAACTGAAATAAGGATACTTTTCCCCTGTAACATTTATCCTTTTCTATGCATGTAAGCACATGAAGCACAGCTGAACAATGGCAACATCTTCCATTAGTGCTTGATTCTCTAATCAACCCCAGTTAGGGCCAACTCATATTAACTGATCAAAGAAAACAGGCACAGGTGGCTGCAGTTGTGTGTTTTCTTTTGCCTGAGTTTGAGCTTCATCAGCCTACCAAGTTTTAAACTGCAAGTACTGAGATGGAGTGAGAACAGGTTTTGTCAAAGTATCCTAATTATATGGTAGTAATCTATTATCAAGAGCCATATTTTTAAATAAAGTTTGCACAAAAAGAGAGTTCAGTCCATATTGACTAATGGCTTGCTTAAATTCTTTAGTAACTTAAAAGAGAAAGCAGCCTAATTAGCTATATTCTGTCCTACTTGCTGGATTATAGTAACGGGAAATTGCCATGCTTCAAGGTCTCCCTTGGCTTTAGCTTTTTGAATAGAATTTTGTCTACCACCACCAATTGCTCCAGATTTTAATGTTGTAACTACAGGAGCAGTAAGTTTTTCAGCCAATTTATTTTCTCACCCATTTAGAGGAGAGAGAGGAGGTGGCCATTCACTTAATTCGGCAGGTGGAGCCAACGGGCTATTAAAACATACTTTTTAAAGTTTTTCTTTCTTTTCTTTAATCTCCTCTGGTAGCTGCTCCCCACACTCAGAATTTGAAGTTAGTTTTTTACACTCATCCTCCTCTTCCTCATCTGAGTCTGCCTCATCATCTGTTTGAAATGGCTCAAGGGCTGCCTTTATTAGTGCCCACACTGACCATACAGAACCTGGAATTTCTGCTCCATCTTTATATGCCTTTTAAAAAATCTCTTCCAATTCTCTCCCATTCATCCAACTTCATAGTCCTTTGTTCTGGAAACCATGGGCAAAACTGCTTTACTGTACTAAAGAGTGATAACAAATTCTAAGTACTAAATTTCATTCCCCATCTTTGTATGTCCTCGGGTGTCTTTTGATGTTGTGTCCTCTGCTTTCACATGCTCCAGCCTTCCTTCACCGGGTCTTTGTCACCCCATGTTGGGTGCCAGGAATGTTGGGGGTGATCAGACCCAACACTAGGTCATGGGGGTGATGAAGTCCGGCAGAGTCAAAAGAATGAGAAAAAGACAGTTTGAGAGAGAAAGTGGGACCAGGAGACCATCACGAGTGTGGAGTCTGCAAAGTCCCCAAGCTCTGGGAGCCTACGCTATTTGTTGGTGCTCAAACAAACAGGTGGTGAGGATTTAAGGGTTGAAAGGAAACGGTGTATCAAGTGAATGAGAAACATATGGCCCTGCCTCAGCTTCTCTTCCAACACTCAGCTTTTCTCCCAACACATTCCCCTTATGAACAGGAATAAAATAGGGATGCCTCTTCTCACCACTCCTGTTTAACAAGTCCTAGCCAGAGCAATCAGGCAAGAGAAAGCGATAAAAGGCATCCAAATAGGAAATGAAGACAAATTATCTCTCTTCACTGATGATATGATTCTACACCTAGAAATCCATAAAGACTGTGCCAAAAGGCTCCTAGAACTGATAAAAAAAGTCTTCAGCAAACTTTCAGGATTAAAAAAATCAACATATGGAAAGAAGTAGCATTTCTGTACACCAAAAATGTTTAAACTGAGAGGTAAATCAAGAGTGCAATCCTGTTTACAACAGCAACCCCCAAAATAAAATAAAATAAAAGAAGAATATGTCTAAGCAAGGAGGTAAAGGATATCTAAAGGGAGAACTACAAAACACTGCAGAAAGAAATCATAGATGACAAAGCAAATGGAAAACTATTCCATGCTCATGGATTAGAATGATCAATATTGTTAAAATGGCTATACTGCCAAAAGCAATCTACACATTCAACATTATTCCTATGAAACAACCAATGTCGTTTTTCACAGAATTAGAAAAAAAATATTCTAAATTTCATATGGATTTTTAAAGAGCCCAGACAACCAAAGGAAACCTAAGCAAGAAGAACAAAGCTGGAGACATCACATTACTTGACTTCATACTATACCCTAAGGCCACAATAGACAAAATAGCATGGTAGCGATATGAAAACAGACACAAAGACCAATGAAACACAATAGAGAACCCCAAAATAAACATGCACCTACAGCCATCAGCTTTCCCAGGATAACACAAAGAGAGCCAAGTGGCACCTGCACATTACACTGTGGAAGAAAAACCCAAGCTCAAGAAACCCCAACTTGTATTATGGGAAGTTCACTTGGCTGTACCCTTCCCAAGAGGGAGAAATTATCTGCATTATACTAGACAGTAAACAAACTTTTCCTTTGTTCCAGAAGGAGGTACTGGTTTTCTATTCCAAGGCTGTTTTCTATACAAACATTCTTGAAAACAATCATTTGGAACAAGAAAGTCAGCGTCCAAACTTGCAAAATTGCGGAAATTAAAGAGACCCAAAAACTGTTTCTCTACCAATTTCTATTTTTTAAAAATCACATTTTCCCCATATAATATGCCTTTAATATGTGATCATATTCTGAAATTGTCTTAGCATTTACCCCCATTTCTGAGTCCAGAAGGATACAATAAATTTAATTTAATTTAGTAACACTTCAAATAGTAGTGATTGTAATAGCAGAGCTAGTTTGAAGCATAAAGAAAAAATAATAATATTATTAGGTGACACAAATAATGCTAACCACCTTTCTAAATGTCATGGTAAGTACAGTGATTATTTTCTTTTTTTCTGACTCTTTTTTATTGTATTTTTTATTTTTTTTCCCATAGGTTATTGGGGTACGGTGGTATGTGGTTCCATGAATAACTTCTTTACTGGTTATTTGTGAGATTTGGGTGCACCCATCACCCGAACAGTGTACACTGCACCTTATTTGTTATCTTTTATCCCTCGCCCCCCTCCCTATTAAATAATAGACAAAAAATAATGGGTTTAGAATAAATGAGTTCAAATGAATTGTCAAATGTATGTGGGGAAAGTGGAATCAGTTTGTGAGAAAAAGCAAAAAACTCAACAGAAATTCTGATAAAGCATCATCCCTTCATGGCTAGAGCTACCAGGACACTAGAACACCAAAATCAGCTAGGGAAATTTTGTAGAAGTCCCAGATGTACTAAATGTTCTGTGAATACACAGAGATATAATTATAACTGTTACCTGCATGTAGAGTAAAGATGAGAAGGCATTGGTCATGGTGGCAGCTACCTCAGGAGTTACAAAGCAGACGTGGTTACAGGACAGTGTATGTCAGGGCAAAGCTGTCCTAGGAGGCTATTAGGAGCTGCTTACGGCACAGACATTGTAAGTCAGATGGTCTCATTACTTTCAATGACAAAACCAAAATTACTTTTGCATCAGCCTAATACAACGGCCTGGCAAGAGCACAGAAAAAGTCCCTGTGCTGTTAGGTGGGGACCTCTGATGCAGCACAATTCCTTCATCCCCTTCTCCAAAATCCCCCTCTTCCAATTCCACTGAAGAGAAAATCTGATGGAAGTGCTGTGTAAGTAGGCTCAGATATATCTACCACTATAGATAGTAGAGGTGATTCATAAATCCAAGCCTATCAAATACATCATAAATAAGTTACACATTTAATTTTTTTTTGAAATTAGGGATCATGATATAAAAGTTATCAGAATCAAAACTGTCACTAATGTTTAAAAAGAAAAGAAAAAACCTGGACAAATAGATTCAGAGAAGGCCTTGAAGAGAGGGTTCTCGTGCTTCTAGGCCTGATACAAACTATCACAAAATACCACAAAATCCACAACCTTGCACAAAGGCCATAGCAACCTTACACAAAATACACTTCTGTGAGGACATCTGTCCAGCAACCACCTGCCCAAACTTCAACTGACATCGACCTTGTTGTTGATCTTTATAGTCAAAGATAACTATAACAAAAAGTCATGCATATTCCCATTGCAGTGCCCTCCTCCCTAAGATGTGTCTTTTTCCTTTAGAGAGCCTTTCTCTGTTTGTTATTTAGGTTTACAATGAGAAGGCGTGTAAAGTATTTTTATTGTCTTCCTAGGAAAAAATCACTGACTTACAATATTTATATTTATTTATTTACATTCTTGTGGATGAGGAATTAAAGATTTCACAAGTTTTCTTATTGAGAAGATGGAAGTTTTCATGTGAGCAAAACTGAATATGTAAATTGATATGTAAATTATGCTGCAGATAATATGCTCAAATGTTTACTTGTATTTAATTTGTTACACATGAATATTGCATATGTAAGATAATATACTAAGAAATTATCACATTTAATGAAATGCTTTAATCAAATTCCTGATTGAATTTTTGATATCAATATCTTTTTCCTTGTTTAATCCATCTTTAGAGTGAACAGGGATGTCTAGGCCAAAGTCCTCACTTCTATCTAAATTGTCTGAGTTACAGAACTTTTTGAATTTATTATGTTGTCACAGGAAGTTTCTTATTGCTTGTTTAAAGGAGTCTCTCTCAATATGACGCAGAATCCAAAAGCACTGAAGGGCATATATCCTGAGTTTCTGTTACTGAAGCCAAAGGTTGCCAATTTCTTGTAGATCCTGCCAGAGTTAAACTTCATTTAAGTAATCATTAAAAGCTGCATTTATTCCCTCACTTGAACTTTTGATTTCACACTATTAGGACTAATCCTCTAAGTCTTTGCTAAGTTATGTTCCTCCTTTTCTTGTGGCTTGACTCTGATGCTCTCTATATGCAACATCAATTGACATAAAGTACATTCAGGGCAAGAGAATTTCTTTAAATATTACTTTGTTATTCAAAATAATCACAAAAGCACTCATCGTAGGAAAACTTGTGAGGACTCAAATATAGGGAAATAGTTTTTCTTTCTAAGGCACAATTCTCTAAAGAAGTTCACCTTAATTTGAATATACATGGGAAAATATCCTTGTTCACTAATAGTCTATATTCACTCTGTTTTCTTCCCTCATAGACCAGCCGGTTCACTGTTATTCTCCAAATGATGTGTGCCTCTCTGGAGTCCAGGCTATCTGCATATCTAATTTTTCCCACAAATTACTGTTTTGAATTGCACTGAATTCAATTCAAGGGGATGTCATTTATAAACAGTGCAAATATATACTGCACGAGGGATCTTAGAAATCATACACATGGTTTGATCCATAAGCTCATATGAGCGTGCAATGTCAACTTTTTCATGTTTTTTTAAATCCACTTAAATTCTATTTTAAGCCACCATCTGCCTGTGCTGTTAGGGCAGTTAGCCTTAAATCATTTTAAGATGCTCCCCTCTAAGTACTGTGATAGTGATAGAGATATCACCAGTCAGGTGTCCTAGGAAGCCGACTCCGAGTTGGAGATTTGCATGCAAGGAGGTTGAAGTGATATTCCCAACACCTGTGGAAGAGTGAAAGCAATAGGATTGGGTGGAGCAGGAAGTCGGCTGGAATGCAATCACTATCATGGCCGCAGTCCACTCTACAAGGATCTTGGTGAGTTTACCTAATGACCTCGAATTGGAGCAAGAGAACCAGGTCATTATATTTCTGTACCAAGCAGTTCTCGGATGTGGGATGCCTTGAGAAGGGACATGAACTTGGATGAAGGAACTTTACTGTGCTGTGAGTATTGTTGCCAGGAGTCAGCTGTCAACACTCCCAGGAGACGGGAAATTATGCTTTAGTCACTGAGGCGGCATGTAGTGTCAGACCACAGCCTTGTTAAACAGAGCCAGAATTTGGAGGATGGTTGGTGGGTTTAACATTTGGGGCTTGACATCTTGTCCCCACAAGCTGCTGCTGGCCTCTTCCTTGTCCATTTCTGTGTGACCTGTTTAGGAGCCGCAGCTTACTGCTTCTTCTTTACCATATTTGGAATGCAAAAATCTACACGTAATTTGGCCCATGGACCCTTCTGCTTAGACATATCCTTGTAGCTATTTTTTTTAAAAGATGACTATGCCTTCTAGAATATTTCTAAGAAACTGCCTAAGTCACCACTGCTCACCAAGAGGCCTTTGTTTTTTCCTCTTCTTAACCATGGGAAAGGAATGTAGGAGGGTAGAGAGTGGATATTTTCTAACCTGGAAAAAACTCATTTTACCCTATATGATTTTTGTTAGCAAATTCCTTCTTTGCACTTACTCCACAATCTTTCCAAATTCTCCCAAATGCTCAAGCTTTTAAAAAACAAAAGACAGAAAGATAGCAGGTTATTAGGTTTTCCAACAAACCTTTTCGTTCTATTCCTTTACATCAGTGAGCTTAGAATAACTCTGCTCCTGGAACTGGGAAAGGCACTTGGGAAAAGAAAGAAAAAAAAAGCTCTCAAAGTTTAACATCACAAAACATTATACTCACTGCTATTTTATTATTTATTTATTTATTTATTTATTTATTTATTTATTTATTTATTTTTGAGATGGAGTCTTGTTCTGCCACCAGGCTGGAGTGCAGTGGTGCGATCTCGGCTCACTGCCACCTCCGCGTCCTGGGTTCAAGCGATTCTCCTGCTTCAGCCTACTGAGTAGCTGGGACTACAGGCGTGTGTCACCACACCCAGCTAATTTTTGTATTTTTAGTAGAGATGGGGTTTCACCATATTAACCAGGATGATCTTGATCCCCTGACCTTGTGATCCGCCCGCCTTGGCCTCCCAAAGTGCTGGGATTACAGGCATGAGCCACCGTGAGTGACCTTGCTTTGTAATTTTTACATCATATATCCCCTTTGTTAGACCAAGAGCTTGTAAAAGCCAGAAGACATACACCATTTATAGTTCAATTAGAGATGTTCACTGATAAAACTGATTCTTCCATCTGAGGGTGGTATTTGTAGTTACAGTAATGTAGATGACAATCTAAGTTATGTTCTATAAACTGTGTCACTGACATCTCAATCTACAGCTAACTTTAATTTTTTAAAAGCAGAGGAGTGGGTTGTATAGGTTTAGAAATACATTCATCAAGCTAGTTAAGTGAGATAGATTCAAACCTTCAACTCACTGGAATATTTACCAAATTGACTATTCATTAGCTAAAGGAGCCATATAAACAAGGTACTTTTTAAAATTCAAAATTATGTAAGGTTTTGTTTCCTTTTTATGCTGTTATGAATTGGATTGTAGAGGTTATAAGGTAAAATAAGGTTACTTTTACAGTAAAGCATACAACACATTGTCACAAGAGGGCAGCCTTTGAACATGAATTGCTTCTCAGGCATTCCTTGAAATTTTGAGACAGTTACTTTAATTAACACAACTAAATAATAAAACACTACAGAGGATCTAAGAAGATACTTTGACTTATGCATATTGTTATTTTTTTATTACTGCTAGTGGAAGATGTAATCTACAAGGAAGGCAAGGGCTGAATTTGTTTTATGTAAAAAGACAAATTTCTTTGGGTTTTAGCTTTCAAACATCAAGATAGTAGGTCAATGTCTAAATGAGTGTATCAAAGTTCTCACACTAGCACATGTAAATCCACCTCTTATCTACCCAAAACTCTAACCAAGCAAAGGCAAGTTGGAAGAATCAGACAAATGTAAGGGCCTAGGATACATAAATGCCACTGGATTTTATGTTTTTAACTTTCAACCTCCCAAGTTTCACTAAGAGACATGTTATTTGGAGAGGTTGCTAAAGTGTAGTTGTATGATGTCTCTGTGTACGGTTGGTCTGGACCTCTTTCTGTCCAGTGGTTGCCCTCAACTGATTAGAGTCACCTCTCTAAAGATCATGCTTACGTCCCTGGAGCAGTCCACAGCACTATGAATGTCTGACCTCCACCTTTTTCCAATTAATATTTCTGTACTTACTGAATTGGAAAACATACAGGTGTTTTTTGCCTGGACACTTGTGGTTTTACAACACTCCCCCCGCTTCCGCACCACTGCCCCAGGTGATTTTGTTGCCAGCCAAAGTGTGAGAACTACTGGCAGATGCTGGCAGACAGCAGCAAAGGCCCAAATCCTCTGTGTGATTTCAAGACCCCTATCTGGTTTTCAGCCATATTTCCTTCTCCTTCTCACAGCTGAGCCCACTCCTCCTCCCTCACCACCTGTAGGCTATGCTTTCCAGCCTGTGTCCAGGATTAGTCCTGATGTAAGGCACTTGGGGTTTAAGGATCTCTCTCTTCAGTCTTATTTCCGCACCATTGCTGACAGATATATTCCAGTTGTAATCATGGGGCTACCTCCTTTTCTTTCCAGTCCCATGCTCATTTTCTCTATCACTTTCTACCTTGTAATAACCTAAATCTTCTGGTGGGCAAGCTTCTTCCTCAATCAAATTTGTGTTTATGATTGTGTTGGGGATTGGCTTAGTAATCCAGGTACTGCTGCTGCCTTGAAAGCGGAGACTGCATCCTTCTGTCTGGATATCTTGAGTTTCTGGATTGTAAACCTTATTAGGGCCCATTTTTCCTAGAATTGGAGCCTCTACTTTGTTCTTGCTACTTTAGTTCACCCAGAAAGCACGATCTCTGCCTGAATTTCAAAGTGTTGGCTAGCTTAAATATCCTTTTGTGAGACTTTCGTCTTCCTGCGGGGTGATTTTTTCATCTTACATACCATTGCTAATCTTTTTATCTTGAATGTAATTGAAATAGTTTTAATCTGTGTTACCAGCAACAAGAACCCCTTTTATGAGTTGGAGAGGCCAGGTCAGTCTCATAACATGTGTCCCCCTCCGTGTGTTGAATTTATGTCAGAGCCAGGTTCTTTCCTATTTGACGTCTCTCACCAAATTCCAGTGTTTGTGTCCTAGGAGGTGCCTAATAAATTCTAGAGTTGATAGAAGCTGCAATTTTTGAGAAATTAAATTAGCAAGTAGAATTAGATTATATACAACCTAATCAACTTTTTTTTTTTCTGAGGATGACCAAGATTTGGGCTTCAGTGACAATAGTTGTCCCCTAAATATTTATACTCAAAATCTAGGATCACCAGTACAATGTTGAATAGAGGTGATGAACACACACATCCCTTTCTTGTCCTAATCTATGTGGTTTAAACATTTACGCTTTCACCATTAAATATAGTATTGTTTATATGTTTTGTTGTGGATGCTTTCCATCACTTCGAGAAAATTTCTTTATCTAGCTTGCTGAGAGTTTTTTTTTAAATCAGCAATAGATATATCTCCAAAGAAAATATCCACATGACCAACAGATACATGAAAAAAATGCTCAGCATCATTAATCAGGGAAATGCAAATCAAAACCACAAAGAGATATTGCCTCAAGCCCTTTAGAATGGTCTTATTAAGAGAAAAAGATAACGAGTGTTAACAATGGGGAGAAATTGGAACACTTCTACAGCGTTTCTGGGAAAGTAAAACTGTGCAGCCTCTATGGAAAACAGTACGGTGGTTCCTCAAAAAAATTAAGAAAGTAGAACTACCATATGATCTAGTAGTCTCACTTCAGGTTATTTATCTGAAAGAATGGAGATTGGGATGATTCTCAGGCTCATTGCAGCATTATTTACACTAATTAAAATGTGGAAATAAGGTTAATGTCTATTGGCAGATGAAAAGATAAAGAAAATGTGGTATATTCATACAACGGAATATTATTCAGCTTTAAAACAAGAAAGCCCGGCAATATGCAACATGGATGAACCTAGAGGACATTAATGCTAAGTAAAGTAAATCAGTCACAGAAGGACAAACTGTATGATTCCACTTGTATAAAGTATCTAAGATAGCAAAATTCATTAGAATCACAGATTAGAATGGTGATAGCTCTTTAAGTTGAAGTCAATTTTGCATTCCTAGGTTTTGTAATTTTGGTATCAGGATTCTGACTCATAAAACAAGTTTGGAATTTCCCCCTTCTTTATTTCTGAAATAATTTAAAAATTTTATTTTTTTTAAACGTTTGAAAGAATTCACCAGTGAAATTCTTTAGATCTGGGGTTTGCTTATTTTTTTATTTATTTAATTTTATGTTTTTATGTGCAGGTATTTTACAATTAATTTAATTACTTTAATAAATGTCAATTACTTCATATGTTCCATTAAATCTTGTGAATTTTTTTATAAGTTTTTTTCAAGGAAGTCACCCTTTCATCCAAGTAATGAAAATTTGTATATAATGTTTCACAATATTCCATTATCTTGTTAATGTCTCTTGTGTCTACAACTGTACAATCTCATTAATCCCTGATATGTATAATTTGCATTTTCTTTCTTTCTCACAGATCTAACTTTTGGCCATGTTGATTTTCTCCTGTTTCTGTTTTCTGTCTCATTGATTTCTAATTTCTGTTTTATTTCCTTTCCTCTACTTGTTTTGGACTTAATTTGCTCTCTTGTTTTAGATTTTCTTTTTAAGGTAGAAAATTAGTTCACTTGTTTTGAACTTCTCTTTTCTAGAATAAGCATTTATACAAAAAATTTACTCTGGGTCTGCTTAACTTTATCCCATACATTTTGATATAGTATATTTTATTTGTATTCAGTTCAATGTATTTAAAGGTGTTTCTTATGATTTCTTCATTGAGCTAAAGGGCATTTTAAGGTGTATTTAAATCTTCCAATAGTGTAGACTTTCCTGGGTAGCTTGTTTTTACCCATTTCAACTCATTTTCATTATGGTCAGAAAGCATACTTTCCATGATTACAGTGTTTTGAAACTTCTTGAGAGATATTTTGTGGTCTATAGCCTATTGATAAATGTTTCATGTGTAGCATAATAGAACATATATTCTATTGTCTTGGTCAATATCGATTAGGTCAAGCTGTTGTCAAAATTATTTTATCTTAATTTTCTTTAGTTATTCTGTCAGCAATACAGCATTATGTCTTCATAATTACTTGACATTTTATCATTATGAAATAGCTGTCTGTTGTAATATTGCTCGTTTGGAGGTCTACTTTTTCTTATATTAATAAAGCCACATAAGATTTCTTGTCCTTGTTTTTTCCTTGGTATACTTGGAAATTATTTTACTCTCAACTTATCTATACCATAATATTTGGCATGCATCTCTTATAGGTACTTTTATTATCCAGTTGGACAATCTGTGTTTTATTTGGAGTATTTAAATTACATTTGAAATAATTACTGAAAAGGTTGGATTTAAGCCTACTATTTTTTTTTTTTTTTTTTTTTTTTTTGAGATGGAGTCTGGCCCTGTCACCCAGGCTGGAGTGCAGTGGCGGGATCTCGGCTCACTGCAAGCTCTGCCTCCCGGGTTCACGCCATTTTCCTGCCTCAGCATCCGGAGTAGCTGGTACTACAGGCGCCCGCCGCCATGCCTGGCTAATTTTTGTATTTTTAGTAGAGACGGAGTTTCACCGTGTTAGCCAGGATGGTCTCGATCTCCTGACCTCGTGATCCACCCGCCTCGGCCTCCCAAAGTGCTGGGATTACAGGCTGAGCCACTGCGCCCAGCCTATTTTGCTCTTATGTTCTATTTGTTCCATCATTTTTTGCTCCTCTTTCTTTCATGCCTTTTTATATTAACTGAACAATATTCAGCGTTCCATTTTAATTCCTTTATTGGCATTTTAGAAGAATATCTTCATATAATGTGGTGGTTCTCTAGGGATTATAATAAACATCCTGGGCTTATCGCAGTCCACTTAGTGTTAATAGTCAGCGTTTTCATGTAACATAAAGAAAAGTTGCGGCAAAATTGTTGCGTTTAGTCTCCTGTCAGAGCTATTAATTTAGAATATTTTACACACATTATCAATAGTACACTTAATTTTTTATTCAAAGCATCAGTTGTTTGTTATAAAACTAAAAAAAAAAGCGTTAGTTTTTCACGTTTATGCACATGCCATTCCTAGAGCTTCTCCTTGCTTCCTGTAGGTCAGAATTTCCATCTGTTGTTATCTTTCTTTAGCCTAAAAAATTTCCGTTTGCATTTCTTGTATCTAGGTCTGCTAATGACAATTGTTTGAAGCTTTCTTTTATCTGAATAAATCTTTCTTTTCTCAAGAATTACTTTATCTAGTTATAGAATTTGGAGTTGACAGTTTTCTTTTGAAGATGTAGTTTCATTGCTTTTTAAAGTGTCATTTCTGATGACAGGTCATCTGTCTATTTGTTTCCACGGATGTAAATTATTTTCTCCCTCCCTTTAGCTACTTTCAAGATTTACTCTTTTTTTTGCCCAGTGGTTTGACTATGGTATGTCTACATTTGGTTCTCTTTATTTTTATTCTGTTCTTTGAGTTTCTTAAACCTGTAAGTTGATATATGCTGACAATTAGGAAAACTTTTGGTCTTTACTTTTTCAAATAGCTGTTTCTGTCTCATTTACTTCTCTACTCTTTCTAGGACTCCAATTATATTAGTGCTAGACTGGCCCTATTTTTATTATTTTTCTTCCTTTGTATTAACTGTATTGGGAAATTGTTCTTGATCTGTTTTTAAGTGCACTGATAATTTTTTGTGCCATCTTTAATTTACTGGTATGAACATAAAATGACATTTTTATATAAGATATTCTGTCTCTCAGTTCTAAAATTTGTCCTATTATCTCTTTATCATTTTTACTTCTCTGTTGAGATTCTCCATATATTCCCTCTTATGACCATCTATTCCTTAAATCCTTGAATATGCTTATAATAGCTTATTTTAAATTTCTTATATTCTAATTCCAGCATGTGGGCCATTTCAATGTCTTAATCCATTGTTTACTTTTTTTGTTATGTGTCATATTTTCCTGGTTCTATGTCTAGGCAGGTTAAATTATATGTTAGATTATGTGTATGATATTTTGTAGAGATAGGTTCGTTTATTTTCCTTTGAAGAATGACTCTTTTCTAACATTAGTCTTCTTTCCGTAGTCAAACACCAAACTTTCACTCCTGAGCTATATGCAATGGTTGAAATCTCTGCTCTGTACTAGCAATTTAGCTGTTGTTTTCTGCTGGATTCTATGGAGTCTCCTTTTATGAATGTGAAATGTAGCAGCCATGATATATCTGAATGAAGTTGAAGTGCTGATTTTAGATTTTTACTCTGTGATATTCTCCTCTGTGACTTTCAGTTGTGTGAGATTTCCTCCCATGTCATTCAAATTTCCCAGTTGCTCTTTTCTGTCAGCCTGGAACTCTGTGCTCTTATTCCTCAAGCTAGTAAAACTCACCGCTTTACTCATAGACATCTAATTTTGCACAGACTGGGAAGCGTCATCAGGTGTGAAGTTGCATTGATGCAAATTTAAATCATTGCAATTTTCTTTATTCAATGGTCAAATACTTCATCATTAGTGGAGTATTCTACTATTTCTGCCTGTTTTCTGTTTCTCATTACCATCAAATGTGTATTTAATTTTTTTAGAGTTAATAGTTTTTTCCCTGCATTTGGGTTAGACCTGAGCTACTACCATATTTTGTAATTCAAACTTTTTGTCTAACAATGTTTTAGAAAACTCTTTATTTGGAGGGAATTCTCAAACTTCTAAATACTCTACAAACATTAGGATCAGTGCTCACATTCCCAGTTTCCCTTGTAGCCAGATGTACATATGGAACATGGCCTCAGCTAATGAAGCATACCCACATATTTGAAAGTAAGAAAAGTGTTAAGAGGAACTGTAGATATCATTTTAGTTGATGCAAGGATGGAAAAAATTAACCAACTTTCATTGGTGAACTTTGTCTTCAATCATTGTTTTCCCATGGGTAAGTGGCTAATTTTCTGGCCTAGAGGTGGCATTGGTGTGTTGGTAACAATTGATTTGATGATAACCTGCTTTTGTCTTTTTAAAAATTGCTAATCCACCATTGTTTCTGGTCCTGTTTTATATTTATGCAGTGTATAATGTCTCATGCAAAATTTAGTTATTTGTTTCTCAGCTTAAACTGGATTTTGATGAGCAGTTTTCACCTTCAAATGAAAGAAATGGCTTTGGTTGATGTTAGACAAAAATAATAAGAAGGAATTAAAGAAATATGTTTGTCCTCTTGTAACATTAAATAAATGAAACTGAAAATTCAATAATTCTGCTTCATAAAAAAATAGAAAGTTTCTACTGTTTTTCATTATTTTTGAGGCTGTATCATTAAATGAAATTTCTGCCTCATGGAAGGTTTTTAGAACTATGTAATAATACCATACAGACCATTAGGAGAGAAATGAATAAAAACTGAAAGAAGTAAGCACTGTGTGGTAACATAGATGGTGCACAGTTGTGTGCGTGGAGCCCTAATACATTTGACCATGGAATTTATACAATAAATATTAGTTTCCTGTGAACCTGCTAATTAATATGACTTTTGCAGACATTTCCTTAACCTAAACAGTTTGGGTTTCCTGTATATAGACTGCATGTATTCTCACCTTTAACCTTTCCATAATCTTCCCTAATTACAGATGTCATTGGTTCTTAACAGCAAAAGAACAGCAGTAGCTTTTAAAGTTATATTATTTGTTTTTTACTAATATGTGAAGTGATTTTGTCTTTCATTTCACCTGTAGAGCTAATTATGTCTTCTAGGTTAACAAAAATTCCAGATCATACCATCATTAGTTTAAACTTTACAATGAAATCCTTATTTCCATTTATTACTAGCCTGCATTATAGCAATATTTAGCTAATAAATTATCAAAATATTACTTGAAAGGTGAAAGAGTACCTCAAGTAAATGGTGTAATTTATTTATTTATCAGAATTTTAAATTAATTGTTCTGTTTAATCTCAAAGTGGTACCAATGAAGTCAGGGCATAAGGACTCCGTGGTTAATAAAATGGCAAGAATTAAAAAGGATTATTACATTTTTTCCTCATACTATGATGGCTATAATTTTTTAAAACAGTAGAAATGTTTAATTTTTAAAGGCTACTAGTGTCTATTTCATTCAAAGATGTGAGCTCTTCAGTTCAACTTGTTGTTTGAAATTTGAACAGCTTTTTCTTGCTCTTGTTCAATACAGTTATTTAACAGTCCAGGCAGGCCTCCGGAGTTACATATATGTATGTGGCTATGTGTGTATATATACACAGAAGTACAAATAGCATATAAACAATTTACATAAGACTTTTGCTTTTGATGAAAATTCTTCTAAAAGTGAATATAAATTAATAGCATATGGAGCCTACAAAAATTGTCTAATAGGGAACTAGGAAAAGATAATTTGTGAAGAAAGAGTTTGCTAAAACAGACTTTTTATTTTTACATGTAATAACTTTATATTGAAGGGTTTCCAGAAATATAAAATGTTATAGGGCACTTATCCTGAGACACACGAAGGAGACAAGGGATAGAGCTAGGATGGAAGTGAAAATAAAGGACAAATAGAGATAGATACTTAAGTGGAAATGAAACACTGCATGTTCTCACTCATAGGTGGGAATTGAACAATGAGAACACATGCACACAGGAAGGGGAACATCACACACCAGGGCCTGTTGTGGGGTGGGGGGAGTGGGTAGGGATAGCATTAGGAGATATACCTAATGCTAAATGACGAGTTAATGGGTGCAGCACACCAACATGGCACATGTATACATATGTAACTAAACTGCACGTTGTGCACATGTGCCCTAAAACTTAGAGTATAAAAAAAAAATCATCAAACAGGTGGTAATTTCAAAACATGGCTTTTCCAGGCAACAAATTTTCTGAATGTATCGCAAAAGAAGATAAATTGCATGTCTATGTAGATCATGTCAATGAAATAAACAATAAAGTTACTTATTGGAATATTGAAAGTGGTTGATAATAAATAAATTATTTATATTTATGGTAAAAGCAATAAACTTGATTTTTAGGGGGTTCAATGACTTCCTGAAAATATCCTCTCACAGATTTTCTCAGAGTGTCTAGTTGGCAAAACACAGCTCCAAATAGCTATTTCTGTCAACGTCTACAGAACATTTACATTTTGATTTCCAAAAGTTTCCATTTCTACTGACCTTACAAATTTGTAAAGTGAATGCCCACCAGGATAAAATATTAAGTAATAAAATTAATTGGATCCTACAAGTGAAAACCTAGGCAAGGAAAATCTTCTTCCTTCTTAATGAATGATTTTTATGTCTCTTCATTCTTGTCATTCTAGGTAAAGCAACACTCTGGAGACCTTCTTCTGAGGCATTTCACCACCAGAGTAAGTGTGATGTATGACTAATTAGTCCACCCACAGGGAGCTGGTGAAATTAAATGGGAAGTTATTTCCTAACTGGCATATCTTGGAGTAAAATTAATCTAATAACAGCTTTCATAAGAGAACATAAGCTTAAAAGACAACATTTTTCATTCAACTTTACCAAACAAAGTGCAAATTTAGGTGTCCAGTTGTGAAGTTTGGTTGTGTGTGGATTGTACGGTGAAGGTACCAGTGGACAACAGTTGCTCATCAAGCAAGTTTATACAAAAGCTTTTGGACAAGTCCAACTCTAGATAAAATTCGAAAGTATTTCATGCTTGTGTTCAGAGTTTCTTTTTCTCTCTCCAAGGTAACCCACATATCAAAAGACATATGGGTTGTGGGTAGAACTTCCTAAAATTGCTGGTGAGAAGTGTGCCATGCATAAGCATACTTCACTAGCTTGAATTTTCTGTTAGCCTCACAGGCAACAATTACAATCCTGTATGTTTTTCTATCTCCAGACACTCCTGAACATAAAAAGACCAAGTAACATCCCTGGTTAAGATGTGTACAGGTTACAAGACATGTCTAAATATATTCACCAAGAGGTTTATTATTTTCACAGTGGCATTCACTAAATCAGTTGTCAGTGTAGCATTACTCAAGGAATACGCAGGGTCTTTAATTTATCAAAGTTTGGAGTGCACCCCAAGTTGGATCACTGAAGCACGTAACTATAGATAAGGTCACTCAAAAGCACAAATCCAGGTAATAAATATTCACTAGTAGTTTATATGCATTTAGCAATTTGAATGCTGTGAAGTGTAGCCCAGAAAATCAATCGACATGGAGCTATTAAAGAGGCATTCATGGCACCTGCACTTTGAATCTCTTCAGACTCAGGTTAAACAGGAGACATGGTAGCTCATATATACTGCAAAAACCCTTCCTCTTTCCCTTTTTATCTATGAACCTGCACTTTTCAATGTTATATAGATGCCTGAAGGTATGAATACCCTTGATCTTGGTAAAAAATGGTACCACCCATTCAGCAAAATCTCACTGATCAGTGTCTATGTTACCTCACTGAGTTAGCCTTTTGTGTTGTTGTGGCCCAGAATGACAATGTTGACACAATCCAAACCAGTAGTTGGAAAGTTAATGTTGGATGCGTCTTTGACAATTGATGGAATGACCTGAAATCAAATGTGAGGCAGTGGAGACACAAGAATGCTATTCAGGAAGTTAGTGATCTGTGGAGATACTAAATGAAATATCTGGAAGGAATTGTAATCTTGCAACTATGCTTTTATGTGTTTTTTGACATAAACAATTTCTATTTATGGTGGAGCTAGAGTGTCCATTTCCCATGAAGTTCCCATAGTGTTAACTAATACAGTCATGTGTCACTTAATGACAGGGTTGTGTCTGAGAAATGCATTGCTGGACAATTTTATTATTGTATGAACATCACAGAGTTTACTTACACAAACCTAGATGCTATAGCTGATTACATACCTAGGTTAGGTGGTATAGCCTATTCCTCCTAGGCTACAAACCTGTGCAGCATGTTCCTGTACTGAATACTGTAGGCAATTGTAACACAACAGTTAAGTATATCTATACTTACTTATATCTATACAGTAAGTGTATCTATACATGTCTAAACATACAAGAGGTACAGTACAAATACAGTGTTATGATTTTATTGCACCACTGTCATATAAGTGCACTATCCTTGACCAAAATGTTTTTATGTGATGCATGATTGTAACAAAAGAATTAATTAAATATAATATCAAAGTGCCTATTGAGATTTCAATGAAGAAAGGAATATTTGTAAATTCTGATTACCTTAAGTGGGAATTGACTTTCTTCCTGTTTCCATGGCTGTTCTTGTGAAAGAGCATAGCTTTCCAAAGACCTGAAATCTCTGACAAATCTTGCAATTCTCTATAGCCTGCATTATGAAGGTCACCTGGTATCAAAAGGGGCAAAATGGTAGATTATAAAGACCTGTACTTTCTTGTCACTTCCTAAACATAGCAAGCATTGGTCTATCTTGAACATTTCTGCAGTTATAAATGAGCCTTGGGTCATGATTTTCTGCCTTTTTATCATAGACAAGATTTAATTTAGGAGATGTCCTTTTAATGTGTAATGTGAATAGTAAGTGACACTTATGAAGCCTATTTTCTTCCAGCCATTTTAATTGTCAAATCTGTCCAGTCAAGATGCAATGTTAGAGGCTTCACTGACAACACCGTCTGTGTGTGTGTGTGTGTGTGTGTGTGTGTGTATACATACATATGATTGAGCAGGATTTATTGTAAGTCAAAACAGTCTCAAATTTCTTAGGACAATACAGCTTCCTTGGCCATTCCCTTGGAGCTCTGAGTTGAGGAGCTGGTGATGTGTATTTCTTTTGCATGTTCTCCACATTATCCATATGCAGGCCTTCCATGGGCTTGGTTTTGGAACCAGTGATGAGGAAGATCATTAGAATTGTTGTTCTCAAAAAGATTCCTCCATTCTTCTGCATAAGCAATGGCAATTTTCCCAGACCAATATTTCTTCTTTTGAAATGGTAAATTTTGAATATTAACTGGTTAGTATAATCCCATAAAATAACAAAGTTTGAGCCCTATGATCTGTGTTTTAGGCTCAAGTTGTGTTTTATGCTAAATCATCATTTACTCCTTGTATGATCTTTTTTTTTTTTTTTGAGACAGAGTCTCACACTGTCACTCAGGCTGGAGTGCAGTGGCACAATTTTGGCTTACGGCAAGCTCCGCCTCCCAGGTGCACACCATCCTTCTGCTTCAGCCTCCTGAGTAGCTGGGACTACAGGTGCCCGCCACAACACCCGGCTAATTGTTTTTTAAAATTAAGGATGAAATAAAAGCTGCTCCCCTATATTACATTCATAAATCAGAATTACTAAAGCAAGCTATGTATTTATTAGAAACACATACTCCAAATTTAGCATCTAAGACATGACAATCTTTCAAGAGACATCAATTTACTTTTTAGGGTCTATAGCTATATTTGTATTCATGTTATTGGTGTCCATATATTTCATTAGATGTTCTGGGTAAATTGATAAATGAAAATAATATATGTGATAAGGAGAACAACCTAGGCCTCCTGGAGGGCCCCTTACAACTCAGCTGGTGTTAGCAGAAATGCCTGGGTGTAACAGTGAGAAACAACCTTTCAAAAGTGTTGAGCAATTTTTCAGGCAGAGGAATATGTATACCAATCCAGGCAGCAAGATAAGTGGAGGTCAGTTAAAAGATCAGGGTGTGATTAAATTTTTTTTTTTTAGGTTTCTACTGAGAGGAAATATAACACTCAGTTATTATTTTCTCCACATATCTCTGGTTATTTTGTCACAACCTTTTATGTAAGCTACTACCAAACACTGGGTTATCCAAGATCTATGGGTCGTGTTCAATATTTGCTTTTCCCTCAACTACTAACACATTTGATTCCCTTTGTAACTTTCTCCCCTATTTCTCCTTTCAACCTGTTTTCTCCAACCACACTGAGTTAATAAGCCTCCTATATACTCTCATAACCTGTTTTATCTAAGGAGATTTCCTTTTTCTACTATTATACCCATCTCATTCCCTAATTTATTTATTCTTATTTCTCACTCTATTTTTTATTCTTTTAGGCACAGCTCATGTCTCATGACTTTCAAAAAGTTTTTCTTCTGATATTCCCAGCTCGAATTAGGTACATCCCAATCAGTTTCCTTAGTCTTACAACTCTGCATATTATTGGCTTGCAATCTGTCTTAGGCTGGGAATTAGCTCCTTGTAGGCAGGGGCTAGAATTTATTTACTCTTATGTCCATAATGCCTGACACAGGAACTATTCTCACATACAAATTGTAGGGCCATAATTCCTGAGAACATATGTACATTGTAGTGACTCATAAAGGCTTGAAATAAATTTTTAAAATGATTAATTGGGAAGTCCATGAACTTGACATCTTGATGTAGAAGAAAAGCAAGGGCAGATGAAGAAGTTATACAGGATACTTGAAATACCAGAAGAATATAATCAGAGAGCAATAAATTAATCCTAGATTTTTAGATGTGAAGAAGTTCTGAGAAATATTTGAAGACATGGCTCTAGGGATGAGTACATAACAGAGACCAGTAGCCAGAGTCAGAGCTTTTCAGAGTGAAGAAATTGCATTGCGGGGGGAAGGACTCTTGTATACTAAATAGAAATTGTCATTAAATGGAGACTAAGCAAGAGGCTGATGATCTGTGGATGACAGACGCAGAAAGGTGTGGAGATAGAGGTAAATGCCATAATCTACAAAGAAGATATTTTTGTGCCAGAAAGAAATAATAGGTCTAGAACGTAATAAAAGATAAATAGTTAACTACATTGCAATGTGGTCTGAGAACTCACTGAAGGCATAGCCATTGATATTAACTTCCACTTCGCTTCCAGACAAAAGATTTTAAATATCTTAAAAATTCCATTTGATATTGTATGATTCATCAAGACAGAAAGTAAAGCTGTAGTTGCCCTGGGAGGGCGGGGAATGGGGAGTCACTTTTTAATGGGTACAGGATTTCAATTTTACAAGACAAAAAGAATTATGGAGATGGGTGGTGGTGATGCTTGCACAACATTGTGAATACATTTAATGACACTGAATTGTATACTTAACAGTGGTTAAGATGCAAATTGTTGAGTGTGTTTTGCCACAGTTAAAAAACGGAAAAGAATAGTATTTGAAGATATAGCCCATTTCATCTGGTAGCTAGCTGTATGTGTCTGCTCAGCTGTGGATAGATATTTATGCTGTTTCTGAACTGGAGGTTACTGGTATTCTCTAAGGTATAGGAAAATTGATCTTATGTGGCTAACTGAGGTGGATATGGTTGTATCAGTCAGCCAGTAATGATATAATCATGATAGTTTACATTTAACACAACTTACATGTGTTATACTTTAGAAAGCACTTCATTCATATTATTACTTCATACCATTTTCCCCTTACCATATTTGTCTCTCGTTTCTCTGCTGACTTCAGAAAATGTCTCTTCCACACTACTCAATTCATCTCCTTATTTTGTCAAAATTTTAAGTCTCAGAGTCTCCAAAAAAAAATCCAGACAAGTCTCATGAGCTTTCAGTCATTGATTAATCGACATCCTTAGAGGCTTTCCCTTCCCCTTCTCAATTTAACATAGCTTCCAAATACACTTGCCAGTAAAAAAAGTTGTTTATATGGTTTTGTATTTCTTCCTGCTGAATTATGAACATTTTTTCATATTGACATTGATTTCCATCTGGCCATGAAATACTCAAGGTGAAGAAAATGAAACAAAATTGTTAATATTTATCAAGAGCCAGGTACTGTTTTCGGTGTCCTAGAAGCATAAACTAGTGTAACGCTCACCAGATCATATGAGAGGCAAAAATGGATGAAACTATAAAATCAAGACACAGAGAGTTAAAGGAAATTTCCCAAGATCACACAGCCACTGAGGATATGAACTAGATTTTGACTTCAGGCTATTTACCCCAGAACCTGTGCTTTCAACCATTATTTGTACTGCTTCCCTAAATTACTCTTGAGTACACTGTGACATCATATTTCACCTATGACACTGATTATCTGGGGAACTTTGCAACTTATTCTGAATGTGATTCAGTTTTCTTTTCTGTACAGAGATAAAGTCAGTATATACTCCATAGATTCGTTATAAGGATTATATGAAATGACACATGAGAAGGCTTTAAAAGGACTTGGAAAGAAATAAGCTTTTTTGTTTTCAATCATTTTTCAATAGGTTATCAGTGTTGTGAATGGTTCATGAAAAATGACTTTGGGCTCAGTGAGTAACTGAAATGTTGTTGCTTAATAGTGTGTTTAATATTAATATAATAGTAACAAATGTTGTTATTGTTGAGTAATACTTATTTGGCTTTTCACTGCTTTTCTTTTCTAGTGTTTTAGTCAGAGACTTCTTAAGTCTCCTCAAGTGTGTACACATTTCTTAAATTTGTTGGAAAGTACCAAATTTAAGATATCTTGCATTTTTTTCTTCCTTAGTAAACACTAAATTCCATCACGCAGCAGAAAAAGGGCTCTGTTATTGTTGGCACAATGGCTTAATATTCACTTTTATTCCCTGTATCGTAGTTCTGATATAATTGCTATTTAGAATAAAACTTGTTCCTTATTATATGCATTCATAATTATAAAATTTGTGTTTTAATGCCTTCTTCACATATACTGTGCTTTTCTTTATTTCCTTATATCTCTTACTGTTTCATGATCCTGGTATTTGAAATCTCATTAAGTGTTGTTTGGGGATTTGCTGGGAATGTCATCTACATAGTAATGTCTCAAGTTTGTAGCATCTTTAAAACATAATAGGAGATGGAATTCACGGCAGAGTAATAACCCTCCCACTTTAGGCAATGTATTTGTGATTGGTATGACTTTGTTCCCAGAGGGCAGTTAGCAACACAATATTAAGGCTATGTGTACAAGGAAAACAAATTTTAAAAATCTCCTTTAAAAAAAAACAGTTCCCGATCCTAACCAGTATCATGCACAGAATCCGTTTCCACCTCTTCATATGGAAGCAGCTCTGGGTGGACATCTAGAAAGTTGGATAACTATTTATCACATATGATCTGTAAAGGGAGAGATTTACAAGAAAGTGTTAAATTTAATCCATAGGAAAGCAAAATCAAAAATCAATGAATTTTCCATTTGTAGTTTTCCCTAGGGGCTCCACTCTCTAGATGGCTTAAATGCGTTAGAATTAAATGACTAGGCACAATTGTTTGTTAGTGACATAAAAGCAAGGTAAGCATTTCTGCTTTATGAGTCCAAGCACAGGGACACTTGGTTTTCTTTGGAAGGATATCATAAAGGCAATGTTTATGAGTAATCCCTCATTGTCTTTCCTTCTGTAGCATTCAATGGTATGTACTATAATTTAGAAATGAAAACTACTTAAAGACCACTTGCTAAGTTTCATGTATTTCAAATTCTCAGATTCTGAGTGTTTAAATATGCCTATATTTCTTCATGAAAAAAACATAATCTTTGCCAAGTTAGAAAAAGAAAGTCATATTCCCATTTTTCACTCAATGTAATCAGAAATTTGGACAGTTTTTAGCCTTCAATACATTATGTAATTTAGGTAACAGGCTGAATAAAAGTAAGGAACTTCAGTTAAATTCAGAGAGAAGCTAGTAAGTATTTCTAATACTCGAATGTATAGAACAGATCTCTGATATTAAGGATAAGACCCTCAAAGGTGACCCAAAATGGGTAGTTGTGGGATTATTTTGGGAGGAATCATCATAGATTCTTACTGCTATAAATACAGTCAAATGTCAGATAAATATACTCCACTGAAATGTTTTCTAGGAATGATGTTGGAACCAATGTTGGTAATTTTGAAAGTCATGGAGAGGATTTCAGATGATAGAAGTCGGGCAACTATCCCAGGTTTAAGAAATAAGCAAATGGTGACTTCCAAAAATGCTGTATCAATGAGCCTCACATTGATCCTGAGCACAATTTCAGGAAGGTCCATTAAATGGGTCTTTGGAGAGCACTTAGGATAAAAGGCTGGCAGCAGGGTTTCACTAAGACCAATGGTGCCAAGCTTGCCTCTTTGACATTGTTATCTGACTGATAAAGGTAGGCTATAGTGGTACACAATACAGATATTTCCAGGATAAAGCTGTTGAGCTGCTGTAATTTTCCTTGCCTCTTCACTATCTTCTCCTATAGTTGACTCCCAAGGAAAAGATAGTTGACTTTTAATCTAGAAATGTATGTTAATTGGCAAAAACAAACAAATGAAACCAAAAACTATCCTTTAGGCTTCTCTCTGCTCAGTTATTAGATCATATGAATGTGCCCTTAGGAAACACAGAAGGCCCACACTATTATAGAGACAAATTTCTTACATTCTCTGCTGTTTAATGCTCTTCAAAAGACTTACCATACTTCGCTAATTTGATTACCAACTACTTGAACACAGGGACCAATGTGCTTATTAAAAATTTTGCATATTATGAGGGCACTAACTTTTAAGTATTCGATTGTTAAGACAATGCATGTTATTATAAACCATAGAAGGCACACTTATTACCTCCTTAAGAACCAGTCTCTATTTCTCTGGTTCATAGAACTCCAAGGTCATAGAGGGATTGGACATTTGTGTCTTCAGTTGGCCCTCTTCAGCCCTAGGATAAATAGTGATTAATCTAAGCCAATGGTTTTCGGCTCTGTCTGACCCAATGCCTCTACTTCATAAGAAATTCTTCAAAGACCCCTTCATTATTCTAAACTATTAGTGAGAACACAATGTATGCATTCAAGTTGTTGAAAATATTAATGTTATGCTGAAGCTAACAAAGGAGAAATAATTTGCTGTCAATATATGATCCAAAATGTATATAATTGTGCCAGAACATTTACATATCAAATACAATAGAACATAATGAAATTTTCATATCTTCGCCCATACCTTGAAACATTGTAAATAAAAAGCTACAAATATAGTTTCATTGAATAACCAAATGCCAAAACTGCCATTTCTGTTTTTGACATGATTGATCTGCATTGGTAAATGTAATAGATACTTTCTGTTTGGCCCTTGTCCCCTGTTATACTCCCCTATTTACTGGCTTTTGTCCAAGTGGAATGGTCCATATTGAATATCTCAATCTGTTCCCTTGCTCATTGCCTTCTATGCATGTTCATGAGTTTAAAGGGAAGGAGGAAATGGGATTGGGGGTTATTGCCTAAACTCCCTCTCTGCTAGGTCTCTTTGACCAATCTTTTTCATAAGAAAATTAGTGTTTCCTTGCGTGATCAGGGAAGTTTACTCCCCAGAACTCTGCCTGCTGCTACTAACCCAGAGTTATTGTGGGGTGTGATTTCTGTGATTCCTTCACCCTTCTCCCCTGACATTTTCGTAAGTAGTCTCTTTGGAAATAAACCCATGTTAAATTATCTTAGTTTGAGTGTGTTCTGTTTTTCCTATTGAGACTCTGAAATGAGTATCTAAATGAAAAAACCTACCATCTTTTCTCATATACATAGTAGTTTCATTCTTGCAAAATTCATGGCATATTAAAACCATGCAAAAGTACTTGGCACTTAGGCAGTTACATTTGGGATTGTATAATTAAACAAAGCAGGTTATTCACCTTCATTACATTAGAAAGTCATTCAGGACATACAGCAATCCTTAATTAGGAACGGCTATCCCATGTTACTGGACATACGGCATCCCTGTTTTCCAATCCTTAAAGTTTTTCCTTAAAGTTCCAAAATGCCATCACTTATTATTTCCTGCCATTGGATTTTGTCACATGAAGTTGTAAGGCTGGGAATGCCATAGCCATCTTGAAAACATAGGTAGAAAGATAAGAGAATCACAAAGTGGATCATGTTGAATTAACTTAGCATTGATACCATCTATTTGTTGTGCGATTTGGTAAAAGTTGCTCCTTGTTTTTTTCTTTAATTAGTTGACTATTCTGTTACTTGAAGCTAAAAACTTTTTTTTCTTTTCTTTCCTTCTGTTTTTTTTTTTGACAGAATCTTACTCTGTTGCCCAGGCTGGAGTGCAGTGGCATGATCTTGGCTCACTGCAACCTCTGCTTGCCTAGTTCAAGCAATTCTCACACCTCAGCCTCCCTAGTAGCTGGGATTACAGGCACATGCCACCACACTCAGATGATTTTTGTATTTTTAGTAGAGATGGGGTTTCACCCTGTTTGCCAGGCTGGTCTCAAACTCCTGACCTCAAGCGATCTGCCCACCTCAGCCTACCAAAGTGCTGGGATTACAGGTGTAAGCCACTGACCCTGCCCAAAAACATTTTAACCAATAGCAAAGCACATTATTTCATTACATTTTTTCAAAAGTTGCCAGTAATTTCAATTAAAAATATATATAACATGTTTAATGCAATACAAATGCTTTTCAATGTACAATGGGGTAAGTCTTGATAAGCTGATTATAAATTGAAAATACAGTAAGTTAAAAATGTATTTAATATCTAACTTACTGAATATCACAGCTTAGCCTGGCATACCTTTAATGTGCTCAGAACACTTACATCAGCTGACAATTGGGCAAAATCATTGAATACAAAACCCACTTTATAATAAAGTATTGGATATTTTATGTAATTTGTTGAATATTGTACTGAAAGTGAAAAGCAGAATGGTTATATTCTATTCAAAGCTATCACTTGCTTCATCATAAAGTAAAAAAAATCATAAATTGAACCATTATAATTTGTTGACCATCTGTGTATATGTATGTGTGTGTGTACCTATATAAACATCTATGTTTATATATATATTTGTGTGTGTATATATCCTCGGTGTGTGGGTATGTGTGTTTGAGAGTGTGTGTGTGTATGAAATTGTAGGAAAGTAAAATTTCTTATCTTATAGATATAGCATGTTAACATGTTGGTACCTATCTTCCTGAGATGTAAAATTTTACATGGATAGATGTGTACATTTACTGTTGTACACAAAGAGAAACATATTCTGTAGGCTCTTTGTTTTTCTGTAATTTCATTCAACACTATCTGGTTTATATGGATGATTACATATATAATGCTAGGATGAAGGTTCTTCTCTATAACTTTGAAACTTCCTTGATTATCAACCCTTGGTATATTCTTAGAATAGGATTTTATTTTAGAATTAAGATCCTTGTTTCAGGACTCTAGACTGTTAACACACAGAGCCAATAATTATTCAGAATGGTTGGGTTAGTTCACATTCCCACAGATGAGACATCAAATGTCCAGGCTGCACAGCCTCATTAACACTAGATTTTCTGGACATTTTATGTAGTATTTCATCTGATATAAAAAGTAGAATTCTAATTTAATTATGGTTGTTAATTTATTTTTATCTTTTTAGTCATTATGAAAATGTTTAACTATATGAAAAGCTAGGAAAGAGTTTTATTTTTTAAGGTAGTATTTCAGAAATATTTGTGATACTTAATTTTTAAAAATTAACTCTAAAAAATCTTGAAATGTCTGTTTAATGAAATAGGACATAAATACTGGTCACATTAGTGAAAAATATTTGTTTAAAATTAAAATATCTGCAGCAATCCTGTAGATATTAATAATTTTTAAAGAATGACATCTTTAAAATATAAATGTTCTAAACTTATAATCAGTTAAATATGTCTCTATTAATACATATAGATACATATATCTAAATAAATTTGAAGACTTCAAATTCCAGGTACAATATAATTCTTTTCTATCCTGTGATTTGTCATTCAGTATTTTGTAATTTGAACAGAAATATTTTGCCCTAACCACATGTCTGTATTTTCTCTCACCTAGAAATGTTATTTTATGCAAAATTGTTTTAAAGCTCAGTTTGCATGTTTGAAAACATCTTGTAGAATGTTACATAATATATTGCATATTTGGTTACATTGTTTTAACTGTGAAAATATGGTTTAAATCTATGATGCTCTTTAGTGCTGATCATGATGCAAAGCAAATTTATCTGTATAAAAGTCTCCTGTTAATTTTTTTTTATTATTATATTTTAAGTTTTAGGGTACATGTGCACAACGTGCAGGTTTGTTAGATATGTATACATGGGCCATGTTGGTGTGCTGCACCCATTAACTCGTCATTTAACATTAGGTATATCTCCTAATGCTCTCCTTCCCCCCTCCCCGCACCCCACAACTGTCCCCAGTGTGTGACGTTCCCCTTCCTGCATCCATGTATTCTCATTGTTCAATTCCCACCTATGAGTGAGAACATGTGGTATTTGGTTTTTTTCCTTGCAATAGTTTGCTGAGAATGATGGTTTCTAGCTTCATCCATGTCCCTACAAGGGACATGAACTCAACATTTTTTATGGCTGCATGGTATTCCATGTTTTATATGTGCCACATTTTCTTAATCCAGTCTATCATTGTTGGACATTTGTGTTGGCTCCAAGTCTTTGCTATTGTGAATAGTGTCACAATAAACATACATGTTCTTGTGTCTTTATAGCAGCATGATTTATAATCCTTTGTGTATATACCCAGAAATGGGATGGCTGGGTCAAATGGTATTTCTAGTTCTAGATCCCTGAGGAATCACCACACCGAGTTCCACAATGGTTGAACTAGTTTACAGTCCCACCAACAGTGTAAAAGTGTTCCTATTTCTCCACATCCTCTCCAGCAGCTGTTGTTTCCTGACTTTTTAATGATTGCCATTCTAACTGGTGTGAGATGGTATCTCACTGTGGTTTTGATATGCATTTCTCTGATGGCCAGTGATGATGAGCATTTTTTCATGTGTCTTTTGGCTGCAAAATGTCTTCTTTTGTGAAGTGTCTGTTCATTTCCTTTGCCCACATTTTGATGGGGTTGTTTGTTTTTTTCTTGTGAATTTGTTTGAGTTCATTGTAGATTATGGATATTAGCCCTTTGTCAGATGAGGAGGTCGCAAAACTTTTCTCCCATACTGTAGGTGGCCTGTTCACTCTGATGGTGGTTTCTTTTGCTGTGCAGAACCTCCTTAGTTTAATTAGATCCCATTTGTCAATTTTGGCTTTTGTTGCCATTGCTTTTGGTGTTTTAGACATGAAGTCTCTGCCCATGCCTATGTCCTGAATGGTATTGCCTGGTTTTTCTTCTAGGGTTTTTATGGTTTTAGGTCTAACATGTAAGTCTTTAATCCATCGTGAATTAATTTCTGTATAAGGTGTAAGGAAGGGATCCAGTTTCAGCTTTCTACATATGGCTAGCCAGTTTTCCCAGCACCATTTATTAAATAGGGTATCCTTTCCCTAGTTCTTGTTTTTGTCAGGTTTGTCAAAGATCAGATAGCTGTAGATAAGTGGCATTATTTCTGAGGGCTCTGTCCTGTTCCATTGGTCTATATCTCTGTTTTGGTACTAGTACTATGCTGTTTTGGTTACTGTAGCCTTGTAGTATAGTTTGAAGTCAGGTAGCATGATGCCTCCACCTTTGTTCTTTTGGTTTAGGATTGACTTGGCAATGCAGGCTCTTTTTTGGTACCATATGAACTTTAAATTAGTTTTTTCCAATTCTGTGAAGAAAGTCATTGGTAGCTTGATGGAGATGGAATTGAATCTATAAATTACCTTGGGCAGTATGGCCATTTTCTCGATATTGATTCTTCCTACCCATGAGCATGGCATGTTCTTCCATTTGTTTGTATCCTTTTTTATTTCATTGAGCAGTAGTTTGTAGTTCTCCTTGAAGAGGTCCTTCACTTCCCTTGTAAGTGATATTCCTAGGTATTTTATTTTCTTTGAAGCAATTGTGAATGGGAGTTCACTCATGATTTGGCTCTCTGTTTGTCTGTTATTGGTGTATAAGAATGCTTGTGATTTTTGCACATTGATTTTGTATCCTGAGACATTGCTGAAGTTGCTTATTAGCTTAAGGAGATTTTGGGCTGAGACGATGGGGTTTTCCACATACACAGTCATGTCATCTGCAAACAGGGACAATTTGACTTCCTCTTTTCCTAATTGAATGCCCTTTATTTCCTTCTCCTTCCTGATTGCCCTGGCCAGAACTTCCAACACTATATTGAATAGGAGTGGTGAGAGAGGGCATCCCTGTCTTGTGCCAGTTTTCAAAGGGAATGCTTCCAGTTTTTGCCCATTCAGTATGATATTGACTGTGGGTTTGTCATAGATAGCTCTTATTATTTTGAGATACATCCTATCAATCCCTAATTTATTGAGATTTTTTAGCATGAAGGTTTGCTGAATTTTGTCAAAGGCCTTTTCTGCATCTATTGAGATAATCATGTGGTTTTTGTCTTTGGTCCTGTTTATACGCTGGATTACATTTACCGATTTTCATATGTTGAACCAGCCTTGCATCCCAGGGATGAAACCCGCTTGATCATGGTGGATAAGCTTTTTTATGTGCTGCTGGATTCGGTTTGCCAGTATTTTATTGAGGATTTTTGCATCAATGTTCATCAAGGATATTGGTCTAAAATTCTCTTTTTTTTGTTTTGTCTCTGCCAGGCTTTGGTATCAGGATGATGCTGGCCTCATAAAATGAGTTAGGGAGGATTCCTTCTTTTTCTATTGATTGGAATAGTTTCAGAAGGAATGGTACCAGCTCCTCCTTGTACCACTGGTAGAATTCGGCTTTGAATCCATCTGGTCCTGGACTTTTTTTGGTTGGTAAGCTATTAATTATTTCCTCAATTTCAGAGAGTGTTATTTGTCTATTCAGAGGTTCAACTTCTTCCTGGTTTAGTCTTGGGAGAGTATATGTGTCAAGGAATTTATCCATTTCTTCTAGGTTTTCTAGTTTATTTGTGTAGAGGTGTTTATAGTATTCTCTGATTGTAGTTTGTATTTCTGTGGGATCGGTGGTGATATCCCCTTTGTCAATTTTTATTGCATCTATTTGATTCTTCTCTCTTTTCTTCTTTATTGGTCTTGCTAGTGGTCTGTCAATTTTGTTGATCTTTTCAAAAAACAGCTTCTGTATTCATTGATTTTTTGAAGGGTTTTTTGTGTCTCTATTTCCTTCAGTTCTGCTCTGATCTTAGTTACTTCTTGCCTTCTGCTAGCTTTTGAATGTGTTTGCTCTTGCTTCTCTAGTTCTTTTAATTGTGATTTAAGATGTCAATTTTATTTCTTTCCTGCTTTCTCTTGTGGGCATTTAGTGCTGTAAATTTCTCTCTTCACACTGCTTTGAATGTGTCCCAGAGATTCCAGTATGTTGTGTCTTTGTTCTTGTTGGTTTCAAAGAACATCTTTATTTCTGCCTTCATTTCCTTATGTACCCAGTAGTCATTCAGGAGCAGGTTGTTCAGTTTCCATGTAGTTGAGTGGTTTCGAGTGAGTTTCTTAATCCTGAGTTGTAGTTTGATTTCACTGTGGTCTGAGAGTTTGTTATACTTTCTGTTCTTTTACATTTGCTGAGGAGTGCTTTACTTCCAACTATGTGCTCAATTTTGGAATAGGTGTGGTGTGGTGCTGAAAAGAATACATATTCCATTGATTTGGGATAGAGAGTTCTGTAGATGTCTATTAGGTCTGCTTGGTGCAGAGCTGAGTTCAATTCCTGTATATCCTTGTTAACTTTCTGTCTCGTTGATCTGTCTAATGTTGACAGTGGGGTGTTAAAGTCTCCCATTATTATTTTGTGGGCGTCTAAGTCACTTTGTAGATCACTAAGTACTTGCTTTATGAATCTGGGTGCTTCTGTATTGTGTGCATATATATTTAGGATAGTTAGTTCTTGTTGAATTGATCCCTTTACCATTATGTAATGGCCTTCTTTGTCTCTTTTGATCTTTGGTGGTTTAAAGTCTGTTTTATCAGAGACTAGGATTGCAACCCCTGCCTTTTTTTGTTTTCCATTTGCTTGGTAGATCTTCCTCCATCCCTTTATTTTGAGCCTATGTGTGTCTCTGCAGGTGAGAAGGGTTTCCTGAATACAGCACACTGATGGGTCTTGACTCTTTATCCAATTTGCCAGTCTGTGCCTTTTAATTGGAGCATTTAACCCATTTACATTGAAGGTTAGTATTGTTATGTGTGAATTTGATCCTGTCATTATGATGTTAGCTGGTTATTTTCCTCGTTAGTTGATGCAGTTTCTTCCTAGCCTTGATGGTCTTTACAATTTGGCATGTTTTTGCAGTGGCTGGTACCAGTTGTTCCTTTCCATGTTTAGTGCTTCCTTCAGGAGCTCTTTTAGGGCAGGCCTGGTGGTGACAAAATCTCTCAGCATTTGCTGGTCTGTGGAGTATATTATTTCTCCTTCACTTATGAAGCTTAGTTTAGCGGAATATGAAATTCTGGGTTGAAAATTCTTTTCTTTAAGAATGTTGAATATTGGCCCCCACTCTCTTCTGGCTTGTAGAGTTTCTGAGGAGAGATCAGCAGATTGTCTGATGGGCTTCCTTTTGTGGGTAACCTGACCTTTCTCTTGGCTGCCTTT
Organism: Homo sapiens; assembly: GCF_000001405.40. NCBI lineage: Eukaryota > Metazoa > Chordata > Mammalia > Primates > Hominidae > Homo > Homo sapiens. The sequence goes on along the minus strand of NT_113793.3, from coordinate 26,058 downwards.
AAAATTTTTTCATTCATTTCAACTTTGGTGAATCTGACCATTATGTGTCTTGGAGTTGCTCTTCTCGAGGAGTATCTTTGTGGCATTCTCTGTATTTCCTGAATTTGTATGTTGGCCTGCCTTACTAGATTGGGGAAGTTCTCCTGGATAATATCCTGCAGAGTGTTTTCCAACTTGGTCCCATTCTCCCCGTCACTTTCAGGTACACCAATTAGACATACATTTGGTCTTTTCACATAGTCCCATATTTCTTGGAGGCTTTGTTCATTTCTTCTATTCCTTTTTCTCTAAACTTCTCTTCATGCTTTATTTCATTCATTTCGTTTTCCATCGCTGATAATCTTTCTTCCAGTTGATCACATCGGTTACTGAGGCTTATGCATTTGTCATGTAGTTCTTGTGCCATGGTTTTCAGTTCCATCAGGTCCTTTAAGGACTTCTCTGCATTTGTTATTCTAGTTATCCATTCGTCTAATTTTTTTTCAAAGTTTTTAACTTCTTTGCCACTGGTTCGAACTTCCTCCTTTAGCTCGGAGTACTTTGATCTTCTGAAGCCTTTCTCTCTCAACTCGTCAAAGTCATACTCCGTCCAGCTTTGTTCCATTGCTGGTGAGGAGCTGCATTCCTTTGCAGGAGGAGAGGCACTCTGATTTTTAGAGTTTCCAGGTTTTCTACTCTGTTTTTTCCCATCTTTGTGGTTTTATCTTCCTTTGGTCCTTGATGATGGTGACATACAGATGGGGTTTTGGTGTGGATGTCCTTTCTGTTTGTTAGTTTTCCTTCTAACAGTCAGGGCCCTCAGCTGCAGGTCTGTTGGAGTTTACTGGAGGTCTACTCCAGACACTATTTGCCTGGGTATCAGCAGCGGTGGCTGCAGAACAGTGGATATTGGTGAACTGCAAATGCTGCTGCCTGATCGTTCCTCTGGAAGTTTTGACTCAGATTGGTACCCGGGCATGTGAGATGTCAGTCTGCCTCTACTTGGGGGTGCCTCCCAGTTAGGCTACTCAGGGGTCAGGAACCCACTTGAGGAGGCTGTCTGCCCGTTCTCAGATCTCAAGCTGCATGCTGGGAGAACCACTACTCTCTTCAAAGCTGTCAGACAGGGATATTTAAGTCTGCAGAGGGTATTGCTGTCTTTTGTTTGTCTGTGTCCTGCCCCCAGAGGTGGAACCTACAGAGGCAGGCTGGCCTCCTTGAGCTGTGTTAGGCTCCACCAATTTCGAACTTCCTGGCTGCTTTGTTTACTTACTCAAGCCTGAGCAATGGTGGGCGCCCCTCCCCCAGCCCCACTGTAACCTTGCAGTTTGATCTCAGACTGTTGTGCTAGCAAACAGCTAGGCTCCGTGGGTGTAGGATCCTCCAAGCCAGGTGCTGGATACAATCTCCTGGTGTGCCATTTGATAAGCCTGTTGGAAAAGCGCAGTATTAGGGTGGGAGTGACCTGATTTTCCAGGTGCCATCTGTCACCCCTTTCTTTGACTAGGAAAGGGAATTCCCTGACCCATTGTGCTTCCCAGGTGAGGTGATGCCTTTCCCTGCTTTGGCTCATGCATGGTGCGCTGCACCCACTGTCCAGCACTCCCCAGTGAGATGAACCTGGTACCTCAGTTGGAAATGCAGATATCACCTGTCTTCTGCATCACTCACGCTGGCAGCTGTAGACTGGAGCTGTTCCTATTCGGCCATGTTGCCTCCATCCTCTAATTTTTAACTTTCAACTGATTAGATACATTTACCCTCTTCTGAATTTTAATTCCTGATGAAAAGATTGTGAAATCTCAAGAGGATAATGAATCAGCTTCTGATTATATTCTGGAATTACGATTTGATCACCCATCCAAGAATGCATATTCACTTTCCTTTACATTACACACGTGCATAATACCATGCTGAGTGATGCTGGAAAAAGTGAGTCTTCAGTAATGCCCTCATGAAATTACAGTCTCACTACACCGAAGTATTTTCTTTTTAACACTTTTTTTCTTTTCTGCTGTGAATATGTGCCTTCTAAGAGGTGAACAACTGGGAAAAACTGAAAAAGAACCTTCATCTAATTCAGTAACTAGCTTTTGTATCTTCTAAGAATTTTTATCTCCAGAAAGCTCTAATCTTCATTCCTTTACAAGCTTTATTTCTCTCTCCTTTCCAACACCAGACTTTTCTCTGTTTGTTTTCTATAACTTTTTTAGAGATGCCTACAATAGAAAAAAACTATGACATATTCAATGCATCTGAAAAGTTTGCATTGCCATAGATAAGAATGAATTATCTGTTTATAAAGAAAAAAACAATAAAAATATGAACCAAGAAAGCACAGAAGGTAGTAACCACATTTAGATGTTTATCATGGAATCATCTTTATAATCCATCTGTTACAATTCCACAGAGCAAATTACAAGTAATTGTGAAGTTTCCCCTCATTTTATAGGTTTGGTCTTATAAGGCATACAACACAAATTTTAATTACTTTTCTTTTTGGTATTTGGATCTTAATTTGGTGAAGTGGCCACTGGGTAGATGATGGAGCCTCTTGAGACATACAGTCTTCTTCTAGCTTTGTTGATGTAAATATTACGGTGTAGTTTTCATTCACTTATTATTTTACAAGGCATGCTTCATTAAAAACATGTCAGCATCTCATTGACAAATCACAAAATTTAAAAGGCACAAGAAAAAAACAATTTATTTGAAACATTCCTGTGTAAAAGTAGTCACCACTCTTACTATTCTTCAAATATTTTTATTATATTTAAACACAAGCCTAGTTTTATCTTGAGTGTCTCACCTTGGTGATATTGTACACTTTAAACTTAGAAAAAGTTGAACTCTATTGGAAATTTCCTACAGATCAGCTTTTCTAGATGCCAAGCACCTTGTTTCAGCTGTGGTGATGACAGCAAATTGGGTTCTCAGGGATTCTGGCCTCTGGCATCATCTCAGTTGTTTATAATTGAAGTTGGCTCTGATGAGAACTCAGCTTAGATGCATGGTTGGACTGCTGGGCTTAAGGCTGGCCTGCCAGGAGGTTGCATTGAGGTGTAACTAGGCAAAGAAAGAAGGAGTTTATTGAGGCACTACTGACAATAGCAAAGACTTGGAACCAACCCAAATGTCCAACAATGATAGACTGGATTAAGAAAATGTGGCACATATACACCATGGAATACTATGCAGCCATAAAAATGATGAGTTCATGTCCTTTGTAGGGACAAGGATGAAGCTGGAAACCATCATTCTCAGCAAACTATCACAAGGACAAAAAAACAAACACCACATGTTCTCACTCATAGGTGGGAATTAAACAATGAGTACACATGGACACAGGAAGGGGAACATCACACACCGGGGCCTGTTGTGGGGTGATGGGCTAGGGAAGGAAAAGCATTAGGGGATATACCTAATGTAAATGACGAGTTAATGGGTGCAACACACCAACATGTCACATGTATACATATGTAATGAACCTGCACGTTGTGCACATGTACCCTAGAACTTAAAGTAGAATAAAAAGAAAAGAAGGAGGTTGGGCAAAATTACCAACAATCTTCAACTATGAATTTTTATGAGTAGGGGCTTCCCACACCATCAAGCACTCCAAGTTGGAGAAACAAGGGATGTTGAATTGAAAGTTTAATTTTTTAGGCTTGATAGTCAGATTAGGGAAGTTTTGGGTACACCTTTCCCACTCTAGAGCCCTCTCCCTAACTCACGGCCAATTTGGGACATGGGCTCAATGGAAAAGAGTGCTGAGATCAATTAGAAATATCCTTCATGAACATAGGAGGCAGGCATTCTGGCCAAGGGGTGCGTCTTCCCACTTTGTAATCCAGAGTGCGATTTCTTCTTGCTATCTGTCCCTCCGTAAATAAGCTTTGGGTGAAGGACAAGGTAGTTACAACTGAGGATGGAATGAGATTCTAGCAGAATTGCAAAATGAACTGAGAGCCACGAAAGTGTTCCTCTGTGAACCAGCAGAGAGATCTGTGGAAGTCAAAGGAAGAGGAACCAAGAGGCCAGATAATATTCCTGCTTCCCCTACATTGTGAGAGTGAAATTATCAGCAACGTATATCAGTAACTAACCAGAGGCTTTTTGGAGAGTAAGACTTCTGATAGATACCTCAATAGCTGAAGTTGCTCTTCAGTACTGCACATAACCTGTGGACAGATTTTCATCATTATTAATTCATTTATTCAACAGATAGATATTAAATTCAAGGCATAGTTCTAAACTATGCAGTCAATTACAAAAAAATAATGAAGGGCATTAGCTGTGCCTCATAGGACGTTAAAACTCTAGGTGCTGAATGAGACAAATAGGGTTCCCACATCAAGTGCCTGGGCTCCTGTTATAACCTGGACTGTGCTTCCAATGACTTCTCTTGTTTCTGTTTTGGTAAACCCATCATTTGGCTTAGTCCCTATCCTTGCCATGCTCACCCACCAGTAGGTGGACCTCCTTGACCATAACTACAGGCATAGATCTTTGAGTTTCTTTTCAAATGTTTGCTTACTTTAGAGCTGCAGTCAAATGTTGTTTGGACCATAAGACTCTGAGGATGTGTGTGGTTGAAACTGTCTTGAGACTCAAAGAGCTATTGAGGAAGGGATTTGGTAGCTGAACTTTTTTGAAGTTTTTCTCTGTCTCTCACAATCTGGGTCTGAATAGCTTAATATATTGTTTAATTTCTACATCAATGATAGTTTAATAGGCATTCATGAAAATCAGTTCTGCTGGGAGTTTATTATCCTACTCCAATAGCAAGTAACGCATTCCTTAAATTTAGTGTACGTATAAATTCTACATGGTAAGTGAAGCTGTCTTTATGAATTGCTGCTATAGAATATACTAGATTGTGTAGGTTTTAGTACAATCCAGGTAATTATCAAGCCTTTGTAATATTTTCAGGAAAGTGATCCTTTCACTTCAGTTTATGGAACTTGGAAAGTTTTCGGTTGCCACCCACTTGTTAGATCATAAACTTAATTCTATTTGTCTGAATTTATTTTTCTATTTATAAATTTATCTGGATGTTTTCTCAAAGGTTTCCCAGATTAAAAACCTATGGCTTTGTAAAATTAAAACGGAAGTAATAAGAATTGTGTTAAAAAACAGAATCGGGCCAAGCATGGTGGCTTATGCCTGTAATGCCAACACTTAGGGAGGCCGAGGCAGGAGGATCATTTGAGGTCAGGAGTTCAAGACCAGCCTGGGCAACATGGCAAAACGCCACCTGTATTAAAAAAATACACAAATTAGCTGGCGTGGTGGTGAATGCCTTTATTCCTAGCTACTCAGGAGGCTAAGGCAGGAGAATAGCTTGAACCCAGGAAGCTGAGGTTGCAGTGAGTCAAGATAGAGCCACTGCATTCCAGCCTGGGTGAGAGAGTGAGATCCTGTATTAAAAAAAAAAAAGAAAAAAAGAAAAGAAAAATAAAGAAAACCAGAATCATACAATGAGAGAGATTGTATAGCCCTTTTAATTGTCCATAATGGATACATTTCTTTTTCTGTGTAATAGTTTATCAGCATGAAAATTTTCTTTTTCTGCGTAATAGTTTATCAGCATGAAAAACAAAGAGTCACTGAACACTGATAATTTTTTTTCTCTCTCTCTCTCATTTTTTCCTTTTTTTGGAGATGAAGTCTCACTCTGTTGCCCAGGCTGGAGTGCAATGGCAACATCTCTGTTCACTGCAACCTTCACATCCTGGGTTCAGGCGATTTTCCTGCCTCAGCCTCCCAAGTAGCTGGGATTCCAGGTGCATCCCGCCATGCCTGGATAAGTTTTTGTATTTTCAGTAGAGACGGGGTTTCATCATGTTGGCCAGGCTGGTCTCAAACTCCTGACCTCAAATGATCTGCCCGCCTTAGCCTCCCAAATTGCTGGTGATGATTTTCATTTAATGGTGTTCTACAAAGTGAGTTTAGGCAATGAAAGCGCACATGTCATCTATAGTTTACCAGAAAGTAGTACTGGTCACCAGCATTGAAGCATACTCCTAACACTGGAAAATTTCTTCAGCAGCCAGAATTAATCTCAGATTTCGAGACTGGAGCAAAGACTAATTTGGTATGTGTTCATTCAGATTAGTAAATCTCCATGGTGTTTGAACTGTATAATATCAAATCTAAAATAAGTCAAAAGAGTTGAACAATATCTCATCTCTGAGAAAAAAATGCATTATTTTCAACAGATTTAAGACTGAATTTAAAATCCAACTGCCTATTCCAGTGTTTGTTTCTCTAGAATAAGGCCAAGCCCTACAAATTCTGGATAGTGTCCTCCAAGTTGTATTTAAGTGATAATTGATAAATCTATGGTTTAGATACATATGGAATTCCATATAACTCTAGCTCCAGCCTTTGTGAGTAAAAATTGGCAGTGATCATGGCCTTAATGGGGGCATGTGGTTAATTGGAATTTTCAGTACCAAAAGTCGTCTTCTTACTAGTTTATCAGGGTACCCTATAATAGTATCCATAACTCATTGCCCACTTGTCTGTTTTGATTTCTTTTTTAAAAAGACAATTTTAAACTTAGAGGATTTGTACCTCAAGTCACATATGTGGCACATTTATAAAATAATCATGCCTTTGCATATTTTTCCTTTGATAACTTAGCTATATATCCAAGCCATTTATGTTTTTTAATTGCCACAAATATTGCACTGAAATAGAGCACTAGTTGCAAAAATGCCTGGTGTAACATTTCTTCTTGTTCTTGAAAGTTATTTTAATACCCCATGTTTAAGATATTCCTAGACAACTATATGTAACTATAATTATTTCTGCTAGGTAGAAACATCTTTGTGGTCAACATTTGTGAAGTGCCTTGTAAATAAAAATATGCTTGAGTTGAAATAGTATTTTGCAAATATAGCCCTAAATAGAGCTACTGATTTTACCAAGAATTAAAGACTCCAAACTCTGTCTTTGTCTTTCAAATTAGGTTTATAGGAACATCTCATTACAATGAGCCAAAAGCCTATCTGATCATTAATGAGATAATTTTGACACTTCAAATGACACAGTTAATTTGTAGTAGGTTTTTGAAGTGCAAATTACATGTTTCTGTTTAAATAATGACAGTAAAATATGGACACTATTCACACTCTATATACACAACTACAACTTGTCTCTAGAAGAAAAGTTTAATTTTTCAGGTCTCATCCACAAAATGAAGTGTTAATAAGCTGTATCTTTATTCTCATTTTTAAGTAATTTCTTCTTAACCATTGTATAACACTACCACAGTTTGTATGGAGATAAAATAACTCATGGTGAGAAATCCAGTTCTTTAAAAATCATTTTACCTTCAATCACTTTTAGGATATCTATGGTTTTAGAGTAAGGACGAAAATTTATAAACATTAGTTAAATTATGCAACTGTTTTTGAAGATGTTTCAAAATTACATTTTCCTTATTTTACAACTAGTTTTCATGTATTCACAAATGAGACACATGAGAATTATTAATGCAAAAGCACAGCATATCAACAAAGTTTATAATGTAAATAGTTTAGTTAGGAAAGAATGTAATGAGTGAATTATCAAAGCTATTTTATTGGTTCCTAGATTTACCATAGAAGAAAATAAAGCAGCCTTATAAAAATTTCTCAACACTGAGTCCATTTAAGGTCTATTTTGTATGCCGTAAGTTCTAAAAAATGTTATTGCCGGTAAAAATAGGATGCCTATCTAAAATTGTCTTTTTAAAGGTTCTCTCTTATTCTTCTTCCTTTCCTATGTGTGCACAGAATACTGTCATCATCTTGATTGGAACACTGTCTCTCTTTCTCAGAGGGTATACATTTGTAGAAGGGAGAAAATATTTGTTAATTTTGCTTCCTATAAGATAAGGTCTCAATGGTTGAAGGTCAGTTAACAAACATTTTTTTTTGTCTTCATACTATTATCTTGGAATTACCAACTGGCTTCTATTTACATTTTGAATTATGAAAGAAAAGAACTAGCATTTGTTAGAACTTACTGTGTTCCAGGAACTTTATTGATACCATTTCTTCTCATTATCACATTTGTTCTTTCAATTAGTCTTATTTTTTTCCATCTTAATAAGGTGGGACCAGAGGTTTTGTAATATCCACTAACCCACTGTGGATTTCATGGCTTGCAAGAGGAAGAAAGCATGGTGGAACTCAGGTTTCTCTGATTGCAAATTCACATCCTTTCATGTCTCCATGAAAAATAGAAAGGATAAATTGGGCTCTATTCTAACAAGAGAAACACAATTTTCCGACAGTTAAATGAATAATTCTTAAACCTCAAAAATAAAACGTAGCAAAACCTCAATTCAAGAGTAGACATAAAGGTTGTGGCATGGGTAGAAGGGACTTATGTCTAGTGACATAGATTTGCTATGCATATCTGACCAAAAATCCCCCTCATGATTTTCAAATCAGATGCATAACTGCATTTAATGAGTTTCACGAATCATTAATATCAGGCTCTGAAAACAGGATCATTAAAAATGATTAAGATTTTCAACAACAAAGATTTTATCTAAATAGTAAGGAAATTATATTAGATGGCTCCATTCCCTGGGCAGTCTAGTTAATAATTCAACTTGTTCAAAGCTATAAAATATGGCAACTTAAAAAATTATGAAAGTTTTTCTAACTTTTTCTTAAGGTAGTTGGCCATTCTTCCTCTTGGGAATAAGAAGGACAGATTTTCTGTCGAAGCATTTTGCTATTGCTTTTCAATTTCCATTTATGGAAAATAGATAATATAGCAATTTTTTAGTTATAAATTCAAAATGGAGATAATTAAGTATCTCCATTAATTAACTAAAGATTAATTTTTCAAAAAATAGCATTTACTAAATTCTAATCAATCGATTGACTATTTTTATCCCTGGCTCAATGTAACTCTCTTTGACATATTCTTGTCTTAATTCTAGTTTATGTCAACAATGTGTAATCATAGATGACTCTTTGCCATTTTGATCTCTCAGATCTATTAACACCTTTGATCTAACGATAATGTTTTCCAACAGAGTTATTTCTACTCAAACTTCTGAGATGAAATTTGTGGATTTATTCTCACCCCAATCAATTTTTCAACTCTCAGGACACCAAATGGTGTCCTACAATTCAATTCAATCCTGAGACTATCTATCTGGAGATAGCATCAGATCCCACAAGTTCAGGGTTCAGGCCCACAAGACTGCCCCCCCCCACCATTAGAGAGGAGTTGTGGGCCTGTCATACTCCTGACCAACTGGCTATAAATTAGGACTTCCATGGATTCCTTTCCCAGGTTCTATAATTTGCTAAGATGGCTCACAGAACCCAAGAAAGCACTTTGCTTACAGTTACTGTCTGATACAAATCAGGAACTGTCAAATAGAAGAGACACATAGGGCCAGGTATGGTGAAAAGGGGCACAAAGCTGCCATATGACCTCTAAGTATATCATTGTATCACCCTCCCAGCACCTCAGAGGTGATGGAGGAGAGGGCTGACAGTTTTAACCATCTAGTTATGCCTTCATGTTTCTGGTGTCAAGCACCCACCTTGAAGCCATATGGGTCTCCAGCCACCACTCATGTCATGTCAATAGCATAAACTCAGGTATGGCTAAGAGGGACTTATGACTAGTAAAGGATGGTCCTCTCATCTCTATCAGGAAATTTCAAGTTTTAGGAGCTCTGTACTGTGAACCGGGGAGGAAGACCAAATAAGACATACACTAGACCAGTTGTGCTAACTACTGTGTGCCTCAAAATTGCCTACAGTTGTGTTACAATAAGAGATTGCTGAGACCTGCTATTGGAATTTCAGATTTGGAAGATCTGGGGGTGTAACCTGAGAATATGCAGTTCTAGTAAGTTCCCAGGTGATGCTGTTGCTGCTAGCACAGGGACCACACTTCCAGAGGGACTGAGTGAAGCATCGTCGTTACTTATAATAACAACTCCTCTGTAGTCACAATTTCATTCATCCCATTCTCTGAACTCCTCCTTTAATCATTCCCTTTCATACGCTGACATAAAATTTTTCAATCTCTCTGAGACCTCCAAACTATTATTTTATCATATTCATAATGACCCTTACCTACTGATGTACTCTATTTCCTGTTCTCCTGCCTAAATTCCGTGGCCAACCATTCCCAGGAAACTTCAACTTCCTTGTTTCTCTTTCACTTTGCTGAATCTAACCAGGAAAATAACCCTGGTTAGATCCAAATTTCCACCAAATCCCCACATACATTTGAGCAACTAGCTATATGGATCAAATTGAAAAATATCCCACTTGAAACTGAGAATCTGAGTGCCGCCTATCAATCAATCATACTACATATGTTCCAATCTATTCACTCTCTAATTTACCTAGTTTTGTATCTTATCCTGTCTCTAATCCCTAGCACTTCCCCAGAAATCCTCAATGTCTTTTTGGGTGTGCTTCCCTGAGAACATTGAATCATCCAAAGACAACTTCCCCAGATTCCTGAAACCATTTAAACTCACTTTCCCATGTCTACACCCACATACTCTCCATTTTCACCTATTATTATCTGTGAAATAACTGGCCCCTATCTGTATATTGTCTGATGATGATTTCTATATTACAGGTGAAGAAAATGAGAATAGGGTTAGAGCTACTTTCTCATTATAGCATAGCTTAGAATCAAATCCACGCAGTCCACCACTGAAACTGGGGTTCCAAGTCAGTGTATTTGGAGAAGGAGAGCTAGTAGAAAAACAAGGATGAAAAGATCCAGGATGAAGTTTCTGATGGAAGAAAAGGACATTTTTACTATTATGAACTCCTTCAAGTAGACCTTAAGCATTCTCATCTAGACAAATATCCATTCATCCACTCCAGTGAGCTGATTAAGTTTTAGGATTTTAAGGGTCAGTGAACAATTATTACTCATTCAGCAATTAAAGAAGGATTAATATGAATATTATATTGGAGAAGTTTCATTTAAAACATATTTGATTGATTTTTGGCAATTGTCTTCTATCAGATCATTACCAATCCATATGAGTTGGTAGGAAGGGAGAAAACCCAAAACTTAACCAGATGCCTGAAGTTAGGGAACATTTTATAACCAACCCAGGGGGAAAAATGCTCAAAAGGGGAAAGATGAGGACAGAAAATACATTTCAAAGATTTTAACTTTTTGACAAAATGTCAATTCTGTGCAAGAAAAACTGATTGTGTGAATATAACTTTGTCATTTACATCTGCCAATGTGTTCAGAAATATTTAATTTATAAGTTTTTTTAATAGTAGTTTGTTACCACAAAATTTATTCATCAAAGTATCTAAAACATTCTAAAAATACTAAAAATTTTCAATTTAAAGATTAAGCTAAACAGCTCTGTATATATAAGTAAGCTCAAACAAACGTGCATGCTCCCCAACAATAACACTGCTACAGATATTGACTGGTGGTTTTGGTTTCATTTCATTTTATAATGGCAAATCTGGTTAAGACCCAGATTCTGGGCTGGGCGCAGTGGCTCACGTCTGTGATCCCAGCACTTTGGGAGGCTGAGGCAGGCAAATCACAAGGTCAACAGATCCGGACCATCCTGGCCAATATGGTGAAACCCCATCTCTACTAAAAAAACATACAAAAGTTAGCTGGGTATGGTGGCACGTGCCTGTAGTTCCAGCTACTTGGGAGGCTGAGGCAGGAGAAATGCTTGGACCTGGGAGGCAGAGATTGCAGTGAGCAGAGACTGTGTCACTGTACTCCAGCCTGGTGACAGAGAGAGACTACATCTCAAAACAAAACAAAATCCCAGATTCTGAATTGAATCTCACAATAAGGATCTCAATTGCCTCAAAGAGAATAAAATACCTAGAAATCCAACTTACAAGGGATGTGAAGGACCTCTTCAAGGAGAGCTACAAACCACTGCTCAATGAAATAAAAGAAGATACAAACAAATGTAAGAAACTTCCATGCTCATGGGTAGGAAGAATCAATATTGTAAAAATGGCCATACTGCCCAAGGTAATTTATAGATTCAATGCCATCCCCATCAAGCTACCAATGACTGTCTTCACAGAATTGGAAAAAACTACTTTAAAGTTCATATGGAACCAAAAAAGAGCCTGCATTGCCAAGTCAATCCTAAGCCAAAAGAACAAAGCTGGAGGTACGACGCTACCTGACTTCAAACTATACTACAAGGCTACAGTGACCAAAAGAGCATGGTACTTGTACCAAAAGAGAGATAGAGGCCAATGGAATGGAACAGAGCCCTCAGAAATAATGCCGCATATCTACAACTATCTGATCTTTGAGAAACCTGACAAAAACAAGAACTAGGGAAAGGATTCCCTATTTAATAAATGGTGCTGGGAAAACTGGCAAGCCATATGTAGAAAGCTGAAACTGGATCCCTTCCTTACACCTTATACAAAAATTAATTCAAGATGGATTAAAGACTTACATGTTAGACCTAAAATTATAAAAACCATAGAAAAAAACTAGGCAATACCATTCAGGGCATAGGCACGGGCAAGGACTTCATGTCTAAAACACCAAAAGCAATGGCAACAAAAGCCAAAATTGACAAATGGGATCTAATTAAACTAAAGAGCTTCTGCACAGCAAAAGAAACCACCATCAGAGTGAACAGGCAACATACAGAATGGGAGAAAAGTTTCACAACCTACTCATCTGACAAACGGCTAATATCCAGAATCTACAATGAACTCAAACAAATTTACAAGAAAAAAACAACCCCATCAAAAAGTGGGAGAAGGATATGAACAGACACTTCTAAAAAGAAGACATTTATGCAGCCAAAAAACACAAGAAAAAATGCTGTCACTGCCCATCAGAGAAAAGCAAATCAAAACCACAATGAGATACCATCTCACACCAGTTAGAATGGCAATCATTAAAAAGTCAGGAAACAACAGGTGCTGGAGAGGATGTGGAGAAATAGGAAAACTTTCACACTGTTGATGGGACTGTGAACTATTTCAACCATTGTGGAAGTCGGTGTGGTGATTCCTCAGGGATCTAGAACTAGAAATACCGTTTGACCCAGCCATCCCATTACTGGGTATGTACCCAAAGGATTATAAGTCATGCTGCTCTAAAGACACATGCACACATATGCTTATTGTGGCACTATTCACAATAGCAAAGACTTGGAACCAACCCAAATGTCCAACGATGATAGACTGGATTAAGAAAATGTGGCACATATACAACATGCAATACTATGCAGCCATAAAAATGATGAGTTTATGTCCTTTGTAGGGACATGGATGAAGCTGGAAACCATCATTCTCAGTAAACTATCACAAGGATGAAAAGCCAAACACCACATGTTCTCACTCATAGGTGGGAATTGAACAATGAGAACACATGGACACAGGAAGGGGAACATCACACACTGGGAACTGTTGTGGGGTGGGGGGAGGGGGGAGGGATAGCATTAGGAGATACACCTAATGTAAATGACGAGTTAATGGGTGCAGCACACCAACATGGCACATGTATACATATGTAACGAACCTGCACGTTGTGCACATGTACCCTAAAACTTAAAGTATAATAATAATAATTTAAAAAAGAAATGAAAACATATGTCCACACACACACAAAAAAAGAAAAAAATAAGGTTCTCAAAGAGGTCAATATGTATATAATCTATTCTTAAAAAAATTTTCTCCAATTGTTTATTGAAATATCACACAGGCTCTGACTTTATTTATACCCTTAAGAAGTACGTAGATTTATGTGTAGCTTTTGTAAAGTGAAAACTCAGAATGTCTACTCTGTTCTGGTACCACTTTAATTGTTGGAAAATATTTAATAAAAATGAATTACTCAACAAATGGAAAATTTGAACTTTGCATACTAAATTTTTACTTCTTATTATCAACTCTTGAAAAATAAGTGTGTCTGTTAGAAATGACACTCATTTGACTATACCATAATGTATTTCAGACTTTTTATCTTCAGCTACAGAATTTCTCCGTCCTTTGAATTATGTTAGCGGGCTTTATTTGGCCAGTATTGGTGATCCACCTCCACTAATTCGCAACTCTATTATCTTACCCCCAGGGATGCATTTCCATAGTTCTGCCTTGTTATGAGTGTCATTTTTTTCTTCTGTTTTGTTGACTGCCATTCAAGTAGTTTTGGCTTTATCAGAGATTTTCACTTTATTGTTTATCACCTCCTCATTTTTTTTAGCTTCTCATAATTTACTGTATTATATCTACCTGGGCTTTTGGTTCCTTTACAGATTTGTTTCATTTTATTTTTAGCTTATGATACTTCTAAAGTCTGTACCCTTTTAATTTTCACTTGCTTCATCGTCACATTCTTGTGTTTTGTTTTTATTTCAAAATACCAGAAAGTAGGATGTCTCAGCATCTTGGTGAGTGGAATAGTTTATTTATAATCCAAAAAAACCCCATACTTTTTGTGAGCTATCTGCTTCTGAGTAAAAATTTTATATAAAAATTCTTGAAAAAAAATCTTAAACTTCTGAAGGATTGAATGAGATTTTAAAAATCATTCTATACAACAGGTGCAAAATTTTTATTCCTCTACTCAAGAGAAATAATGAACATTTGTTATTCCTTTACTAACATCTAAATGTTAATGTATTCAATTATACATTATTAAAACACGATTAAGCTTAAGAGGTGGAAAAGTATAAAACAAACAAGTGTATAATTTACCTTTATTAATATGAAACATCTTTTTCTCTCCTGAAAATAAAGATTAACCAGTGGTGTGCTGAGGCGGGAGGGGGTGTGTTGGAGGGAGAAAAGCCATGATTTACCAATTTCAGCACAAAAATGAAAATGGTTATTAATCTTTACTAGCTCCAGAAATCTTTTAACACATATTGAAATCTATTGCCCTTAAAAAGAAAACATATATATAGATTTTTACAAAACTTTGCAGTTCCACTCATGGATCCCTGTGTAAGAATCGCTTTTCTATGTGTGTTTGCAATTTCAAGAGTTCAGACTTTATGATTCACAGGTGACAACTCATGATTTAATCTGAACACTTAGGCTTTTATAATTTGGGAGTCAGGTGTTTAACTGCTGTAGTAGTAACTGCTTCTTCTCAGAGAAACTTAGTAGCTAAGACCAGGAAAATATCCCTTGGTGTGCAACACACCTCTTCTTTCTGAACGTACCGTATAAGACGCTAACTTTGTCTCAAAGTTTATATGACTTTTGCATTTGCATTACTAGCTATTTTCTTTTGGAACTGTAGGACTTGGAGACCTTTCCCTCTACCCTCTGAAGGTATGATAACTGAGTCTATTGAATAAATGGATAACAGGCATGTCAAAAGAAGAAAATGTGTACACATTTATTACACGCATGGGGGAATCACAGGAAAGAAAAGTGGAATCAAAAACAAAACAAAACAAAACAAACAAAACACCACCAAGAAAAAACCCCAGTGAGATTTAGGAGCTTGTAGGGAAGGCAGGAGGAAGAATGTAGGAAACTTAAGGGAGAGCAAATGACTTTTGGGAAAGATGACCAGACCCCTAGGAGCATAGATGATAGTTTGTGGCAGTGTGCCTTGGTGTGGAATGGACTCTTAGTCTTGTCTCCTGTGATATGAGGAGTCAATTTTCCCTGGCTGATGAAACTCCTAGGAAGGAGATGAATGTCTTTGTGCTGACAAGACAGTATCTTGAAGCTTTGTTTTCCAATTCAGTTCTAAATCTGCAGTGTATAAAAATCTCCTCATCATGCTTTGGATGTTATGGTAGATAAATGGTATCTTTACAAAGATACATTCATTCTGGTATTGAAAATTCCTTTTGGAGGATCTCTCTTGAGGAACGTAAAGGGAGTGCAGAGAAAGCATGTTCCACAGTTGTTATTTTTCAAATATTTTCAGTTCAATGTAATCAGTACACCAAAGCAATCCATTTAGGACTGGCATTTCCTGAACACCTTCAGAACTCTTTTTATCCCATGTTATTTCTATGAGATCACGTGATTTAAGAACAACTTTTACTTGCCACTTACATATATATTGAAAAGGCAAACTTTCCTTTCATAGTTTCCTAATTTTGGCAAAGTACTTTAACAAAAGTTAAATTAAGTGAGTAAGTGAAATTTTCTGTTCTATTGTTTTGAAAACAATTCTAGAAACTGTCCTTGTAAGAACAGCAAAAAGAGAAAAAGATAATTCTCAACTGCAGCTTCAACTACTCTTTGCGTAACAATGTATCTAATTAAAAGGCAAAACTCTCTATTTCAGGTTTATATGTATCAATTGCTTGATTAGAAAGTAAATTATTTACCCCACATAATCTGGTGTCAAAAAACTTATAACAAAATTACTTTGATTTTATTGCTTATAAGTTTGTGAATTTAAATATCAACTGACAGTGATGAATTTATTTGCTTTGTGCTGACAAGACAGTATGTTGAAGTTTTGTTTTCCAACTCAGTTTTAAATCTGCAGTGTATCAAAATCTCCTCATTATGCTTTGGATGTTATGGTACATAAATGGTATCTTCACAAAGATATATTCATTCTGGTACTGAAAGTGCATACTTAAAATTCTTCATGAACAGTTTTATTGAAAAAAATATGTAGACAAGCCATTAATTATACACAGTGATCTGGAACAAATTCTTACAAGAAGCCTAGCATGTCTTCCATTAACTGTATACAATTTATAAAAAGTTACTGAAAGTCTTCCTGAGGTTAAACAATAAATCTTTTAAATTTAATCACTGTGCTCCCTCAAAGGTAATTTTTTCTTTATGACACTCAGGGGATACAGTCAGATCTCAGCCTACTTTAAACAACTAGGCAGTATTTTTAGTGCACTTTTCTGTTTGTTAAAAAGCTAGTTGTCAAGAATAAGTTGCTCAATTATCTTCCTCAATTACTTTTTATTTTGTTTTGTAATTATTATTCTATTTTGGTTTTCCTTTAGAATTGTGGACTATCTTGAATCAGAAATTGCAGAGAATATATAAATAAGTAAGAATGCACTCTTCAATCAAACTAGATCTCGAAAGTGTTTTGTTGTAGTTTATACCTTGATTTCGAAGGCCATTCTATACAGGGCACTTGAAAAATTTTCAAGCTCTTATATTTCATAATAGTACAGAATTTATTGTTCTTTTATTTGCAAGGAGATAGACCAGATAAAATATCACTTTATTTTTTACAGTGTTGACTTTGATATTCTAAACTTGTCAGTTTATACAGATTAATGAAGACTCCATACATGTAAAATTCACTATAATTTTTTTTCTAGTATGACAGTCCAAACAAATAGTAACTACATACCCAAACAGGTAAAGTAAAAATATACAATAGCTTGACAAAAAAAAAGAAGAAAAAAGAAACCCCTATACATTCCTTAACATTCTAAAACTCTGAGGACCAAATTGGATTCAAAAGAAACATTTCTGGTGGGCAGGGAAAGGGCTAAAAAGCTAAAGTATATAATAAGTAAATTCCTCATTGCTGTAACATATATGACCAGCATGACATTTCAATACATGTTCAAGTTTTCTGAAAAAAGTTCTAGGATAATAGGATTTCAACTTTTGATTCTACAGATATCATTCTTGTGATTGGTATGGTAGAATCATCCTCTTCATGTATTAGAGGATTCAAATGAAAAAAAATCAGGCAGCTAGTTCCTTTCCAAGAAGCCTTAGAGATTGTTGTACATAAAAATATGAACCATATTTCTGATTCAAATTTTAATTAGAGAATTCTCTTTATTCCCTCTTCTGCATAAAATTATGCACTTGCTCTCTGCTCTCCAGACAAGTAAAACTTCTTACCTGCTATAATTTGAGATAATCAAGACTCAGAACATATTATCTCCTAGCTGAAAGTCCCAATAAACTTCTCAGGACAAAAACAGCAAAAAGTTAAATATGCAGAGATAGAGTATAAAACAGTGGTTACCAGGGGCTGGGGGTGAGAAGAGAAAATGGAGATAGAGAATTCGAAGGATGCAAAGTTGCAGATATGTAGAATTAACAAATTGAGGGATCTAATGTACAACATGAGGACTGTAGGTATTAATATTTATTGTATATGGCATTTAACTAAAAGGGTAGTTTGTAGGTACTCTTTCCTCACACACATATCCAAAAGAAAGGTAACTGAGATTTTCAAAGGGAATGCTTTCAGGTTTTGCCCATTCAGTATGCTATTGGCTGTGGGTTTGTCATAAATAGCTCTTAATATTTTGAGATACGTCCCATCAATATCTAATTTATTGAGAGTTTTTAGCATGAAGGTTGTTGAATTTTGTCAAAGGGCTTTTCTGCATCTATTGAGATAATCGTGGTTTTTGACGTTGGTTCTGTTTATATGATGGATTACGTTTACTGATTTGCGTATGTTGTACCAGCCTTGCATCCCAGGGATGAAACCCATTTGATTATGGTGGATAAGCTTTTTGATTTGCTGCTGGATTCGGTTTGCTAGCATTTTATTGAGGATTTTTGCACTCCACTCCACTCCACTTCATTCCATTCTATTACATTCCATTCCATTCCATCTCATTTCATTCCATTCCCTTCCACTCTACTCCACCTCATTCCACTCTACTCTAGTCCACTACACTCCATTCCATTTCATTCCAATCCATTCTATTACATTCTTTTATTTCTTCAGGAACTCACTCCGTCACCCAGGCTGTAGTGAAGTGGCACAATCTCAGCCCACATTTCATTTCACCGTGCCATTCCATTCCATTCCATTCCATTCCATTCCATTCCACTCCACTCCACTCCACACCACTCCACTCCACTCCACTCTACTCCACTCCACTGCATTCCTTTCCATTACATCCCATTCCATTCCTCTTTATTCCACTCTACTCCACTCCACTCCACTCCACTCTACCCCACTCCATTCCATTCCACTCTAATCCGTTCCATTCCTTTCTTTCGATAGAATCTCACCTGTCACCCGGGATGGAGTGCAGTGGCACAATCGCAGCTCACATTTCATTTCACCATTCTATTCCCTTCTATTCCATTCCATTCCATTCCATTCCACTACACTCCTCTCCACTCCATTCCATTCGATTCCAATCCACTCAACTCCACTCCACTCCATTCCATCCCATCCCATTCCATTCCACTCCATTCCACTCCACTCCACTCCACTCCATTCCATTCCACTCCATCCCATCCCATTCCATTACATTACATTCCACTCCACTCCACTCCACTCCACTGAATTCTACTCCATTCCATTCCACATCATTCCATTCTATTCCTAATTCTATTCCATGGCATTCCATTCCATTCCATCCTTTCCAATTACACTACATTCCACTCCATTCCTCTCCTCTCCATTCCATTCCATTCCATTCCATTCCATTCCATTCCATTCCACTGCACTCCACTCCATACCATTCCATCCCATTGAATTCCAATCCACTCCACTCCACACCACTCCTCTCCATTCCATTCCGTTCCACTCCACCCCATTCCATTCCACTCTGTTCCACTAGACTCCACTCAAATCCAGTCCCCTCCACTCCACTCCACTCCACCCCACTCCATCCCATTCCATTCCCCTCCATTCAATTCCATTCATTTCTTTTGACAGGATATCAATCTGTCACCCAGGCTGGAGTGGAGTGGCACTATCTCAGCTCACATTCAATTTCACCATTCCATTCCATTGCATTGCATTCCATTCCATTCCATACCATTCCATTCAATTCCATTCTAACCCACTCCAGTCCACTCCACTACACTCCATGCCATTCCCTTCCATCCCATTCCATTCCACTCCATTCCACCCTAATCCACTGACATTCACTCCATCCCACTCCACTACATGCCATTCGATTCCATCCTATTCCATTCCACTCCGTTCCACTTGACTCCACTCCACTCCACTCCAATCCACTCCACTCCATTCCATTCCACCATATTCCATTCCATTCCTTTCCTTTGACGGGCTCTCACTGTGTCAAAAAAAGGCTGGAACACAGTGGCACAATCTCAGCTCACATTTTATTTCACCATTCCATTCCATTCCATTCCACTCCATTCCACTCCACTCCATTTCCCTCAACTCCACTCCACTCCCCTCCATTCCATTCCATTCCATTGCATTCCACTCCACTTCATTCCACTGCAATCCAGTCAAATCCACTCCATTCCAATTCACTCCACTCCACTCCACTCCATTCCAGTCCATCCCATTGCATTTTACCTCATTTCTCTCCACTCCACTCCACTCCACTCCATTCTATTCCACTCCTTCCCATTCCCTTCCACTCCATTAAGCTCCATTCCTCTCCACTCCACTCCAATCCATTCCATTCCAGTATAATTCACTCTCTTACATTCCATTAATTTCTTTCAACAGGATCTCACTCTGTCACACAGGCTGGAGTGCAGTGGCACTATCTCAGCTCACATTTAATTTCACAATTCCATTCGATTGCATTCCATTGCATTCCACTCCATTGTATTCCATTCCATTCCATTCCATTCCATTCCATTCCATTCCATTCCATCCCATTCCATTGCACTCCTGTGAACTCCACTCCACTCCATTCCATTCCATCCCATTTCATTCCACTCCATTCCATTCCAACCCACTCCACTGCACTCGACTCCACTCCATTCCATTCCATTGCACTACTGTGAACTCCACTCACCTCCACTCCACTGCACTCCAATCAATCCATTCCATTCCATTCCATTCCACACCTTTCCATTCCATTCCTTTCCTTTGACAGGATCTCACTCTGTCACCCAGGCTGCAGTGCAGTGGCACAATCTCAGCTCATATTTCATTTCATCATTCCATTCTATACCATTCCATTCCTATCCATTCCATTCTATTCCATTACACTCCAATCCACTCTACTCCACTCCACTCCATTCCATTGCATTCCATTCCATTCCACTCTACTCCACTACTCTCCACCCCACTCCACTCCACTCCATCCCATTCCTTCCAATTCCATTCCATTCCACTCCTCGTCCCTCCACTCAACTCCATTCCCCTCCACTTCATACCATTCGATTCCATCCCATTCCATTCCATTCCACTCCACTCCACTCCACTCTGCTCCACTCCACTGCACTCCATTCCATTGCACTCTATTCAATTCCATTCGACAGGATCTCATTCTGTCACACAGTCTGGAGTGCAGTGGGAGAATCTTAGCTCACATTTCATTTCACTATTCCATTCCATTCCCCTACACCCTTCTCCACTGCACTCCACTCCACTCCATTCCACTACATTACATTACACTCCATTTCACTCCATTCCACTCCATTCCAATACACTCCACAACATTCCATTCCATTCCATTCCATTCCATTCCAATTCCATTCCATTCCATTCCATTCCATTCCATTCCATTCCATTCCACTCCACTCCATATCATTCCATCCAATTGAATTCCAATCCACTCCACTCCACACCACTCCTCTCCATTCCATTCCGTTCCACTCCACCCCATTCCATTCCACTCTGTTCCACTAGACTCCACTCAAATCCAGTCCCCTCCACTCCACTCCACTCCACCCCACTCCATCCCATTCCATTCCCCTCCATTCAATTCCATTCCTTTCTTTTGACAGGATCTCAATCTGTCACCCAGGCTGGAGTGGAGTCGCACTATCTCAGCTCACATTCAATTTCACCATTCCATTCCATTGCATTCCATTCCATTCCATTCCATACCATTCCATTCAATTCCATTCTAACCCACTCCAGTCCACTCCACTACACTCCATGCCATTCCCTTCCATCCCATTCCATTCCACTCCATTCCACTCCATTCCACCCTACTCTACTCAAATTCACTCCACCCCACTCCACTACATGCCATTCCATTCCCTTCCATTCCATTTCACTCCATTTCACTGGACTCCACTCCACTCCAATGCACTCCACTCCAATCCAATCCACTCCGTTCCATTCTACTCCATTCCATTCCACCCCATTCCATTCCAGTCCTTTCTTTTGATGGGATCTCACTATGTCAAAAAAGGCTGGAACACAGTGGCACAATCTCAGCTCACATTTTATTTCACCATTCCATTCCACTCCACTCCATTCCCCTCCACCTCCCTCCACTCCCCTCCATTCCATTCCATTCCACTCCACTCCATTCCACTTCAATCCAGTCAACTCCACTCTACTCCAATTCAATCTACTCCATTCCACTCCATTCCATTCCACTCCATCCCATTCCATTCCACTCCATTACGCTCCATTCCACTACACTCCACTCCACTCCATTCCATTCCATTCCATCATACTTCACACCCTTACATTCCATTAATTTCTTTCGACAGGATCTCACTCTGTCACACAGGCTGGAGTGCAGTGGCACTATCTCAGCTAACATTTAATTTCACAATTCCCTTCCATTGCATTCCATTTTATTCCATTCCATTGCATTCCATTGCATTCCATTCCATTGCATTCCATTCCATTCCATCCCATTCCATTCCGCTCTTGTGAACTAAACTCCACTGCATTCCATTCCATTCCATTCCATTCCATTCCATTCCACTCCACTACACTCCAGTGTATTCCTCTCCATTCCATTCCATCCCATTCCATTCCACTCCCTTCCACTATACTCCACTCCACTCCACTCCACTCCACTCCACTCTATTCCATTCCATTGCATTCCAGTCCTTTCCATTCCATTCCTTTCTTTCAACAGGATTTCACTCTGTCACCCTGCTGGAGTGCAGTGGCACAATCTCAGCTCATATTTCATTTCATCATTCCATTCTATTCCATTCCATTCTTTTCCATTCCATTCAATTCCATTCCACTACATTGCATTCCACTCCACTCCACTCCACTTCACTCAACTCCACTCCATTCCATTCCATTCAATTCCACTCCAGTGTACTCCATTCCTCTCCACCCAACTCCACTGAACTCCATTCAGTTCCATCCAATTCCAGACCACTCCACTCCTCTCCACAAAACTCCACTCCACTCCCCTCCACTTCATTCCATTCGATTCCATCCCATTCCATTCCATTCGACTCCACTCCTCTCCACTCCGCTCCACTCCATTCCGTTCCATTCCTTTCTACTCCGTTCCATTCCACTCCACTCCACTACATTCCATTCCACTCCATTCCGCTCCATTCCTCACATTCGACAGGATGTCACTCTGTCACCCAGTCTGGAGTGCAGTGGCAGAATCCCACCTCACATTTCATTTCACTATTCCATTCCATTCCATTCCATTCCACTCCACTTCACTGCACTCCAATCCACTCCATTCCATTCCATTACATTCCACTCCATTCCACTCCAGTCCACTCTATTCCACTCCACTCCACTCCATTCTATTCCATCCCATTCCGTCGCATTCCATTCCACTGCATTTCACTCCATGCCACTCCACTTAATACACTCCATTCCATTCCACTCCATCCCATTCCATTCCACTCCATTCCACTCCACACCACTCCACTCCACTCAGCTCCACTCCAATTCATTCCATTCCATTCCTTTCTTTTGACAGCATGTAACCCTGTCAACCAGACTGGGGGGCATTGGCACAAAATCAGCTCACATTTCATTTCACCACTCCATTCCAATCTATTCCATAGCATTCCATTCCATTGCTTTCCGCTGCATTCCATTCCATTCCATTCCATTCCACTCCACTCCATTCCACTCTACTCCACTCCAATCCAGTCCACTCCATCCAGTCCACTCCACTCCACCTCATTCCATGGCATTCAATTCCATCCCATTCCATTCCACTCCATGCTAATCTACTCCACTCCAATCCACTCCTCTCTACTCCACTCCATGCCATTCCTTTCCATCCCATTCCATTCCACTCCATTGCACTCGACTCCACTCCACTCCACTCCACTTCACTCCATTCCATTCCATACAATTCCACTCCATTCCATCACATTCCTTTCTTTCCATAGGATCTCACTCTTTCACAAAGGCTGGAGTGCAGTGGCACAATCTCAGCTCAAATTTCTTTTCACTATTCCATTTCATTCCATTCCATCCAATTCCTTTCCACTCTATTTCACTCTAGTCCACTCCACTCCATTCCATTTCACTCCATCTCATTCCAATCGACTCCATTTCACTCCAGTCCACTCCACTCCACTCCCCTCCACTCCACTCCATTCCATTCCATTACATTTCACTCCATTGCATTCCATTCCTTTCTTTCGACAGGATATCACTGTGTCACCCAGGCTGGAGTGCAGTGGCACAATCTCAGTTCACATTACATGTCAACTTTCCATTGCATTGCATTCAATTCCATTCCATTCAATTCAATTCCATTTCATTCCACTTCTTTCCACACCACTCCACTCCACTCTACTCCACTACATTCCATTATATCCGATTCCATTCCACTCAATTCCACTCCTCTCCTCTCCACTGCACTCCACTCCTCTCCATTCCACTCCATCCCATTCCATTCCGCTCCATTCCACTCCATTCCAATGAACTCCACTCCACCCGACTCCACTCCACATCATTCAATTCCATTCCATCCCATTCTACTCCTCGCCATTCCACTCCACTCCACTCCACTTCACTCCACTCCACTCCACTCCAGTCAACCCCATTCCATTCCATTCCATTCCATTCCATTCCACTGCATTCCATTCCATTCCTTTCTTTCGAGACTATCTCTCTCTCTGACACATCCTGGAGTACAGTGGCACAATCTCAGCTCCCATTGCATTTCTCCATTCCATTCCATTCCATTCCATTCCATTCCACTCCACTCCATTCCATTCCATTCCATTCTACTCTACTCCACTCCACTCCACTCCAATCCATGCCACTCCACTCCTCTCCATTCCACTGCACTCCACTCCTTTCCATTCCATCCCATTCCATTCCACTCTTTCCACTCCACTCCACTCCAATCCATTCCATTAAATTCCACTCCATTCCACTCCATTCCATTCCATTCTTTTCTTTTGACAGGATCTCACTGTGTCACCTAGGCTGGTGTGCAGTGGCACAATAACAGCTCACATTTTATTTCACAATTCCACTCCATTTCATTCCATTCCACTGCACTCCACTCCACTCAATTCCACTCCACTCAACTTCAATCCATTCCATTCCATTCCATTCTAATCCCTTCCATTCCACTCCTTTTCTTCGACAGGATCTCCCTCTGTCACATGCTGTAATGCAGTGGCACAATTTCAGCACGCATTTCTTTTCACCATTCCATTGCATTCCATTCTATTCCACTCCACTCCCCTCCACTCCTTTCCACTCAACTCCACTCCATTCCATTCCACACTACTCCACTCCACTCCATTTCATTCCATCCTATTCCATTCCACTCCTTTCCACTCCATTCCACTACATGCCATTCCAGTCCACACCATTCCATTCCGATATTTTCTTTCGACAGGATCTCACTCTGTCACCGAGACTGGAGTGCAGTGGCACAATTTTAGCTCACATTTCATTTCACCTTTCCATTTCACTCCATTCCATTCCATTCCATTCCATTCCACTCCATTCCATTCCAACCCATTCCATTCCATTTCTTTCCTTTGACAGGATCTCACTGTGTCAAAAAAGGCTGGAATACAGTGGCACAATCTCAGCTCACATTTCATTTCACCATTCCGTTCCATTCCATTCCATTCCGTTCCACTCCATTCCACTCCACTCCAATCAAATCCACTCCACTCCACTCCACTCCACTCCATTACATTCCATCCCATTCCATTTCACTCCACTCCTCTCCACTCCACTCCAGTCAACTCCATTCCATTCCATTCCATCCCATTCCATTCAACTCCATTACAATCCATTCCACTCCACTCCCCTGCAGTCCATTCGATTCCATTCCATTCCATTTTACTCCATTCCATTCCATTCCTAACTTTCTACAAGATCTCACTGTGTAACCCAGGCTGGAGTGCAGTGGCACTATCTCAGCTCACATTTAATTTCACCATCCATTCCTTTGCATTCCATTGCATTGCATTGCATTGCATTCCATTCCATTGTATTTCATTGCATTCCATTGAATTCCATTCCATTGAATTC